>NC_000002.12:24176422-24327937 GCF_000001405.40 Homo sapiens
TCTCTGTAACCTCAGACTCCTGGGCTCAAGTAATTCTCCTGCCTGGGCCTTCAGAGCACTAGGATTACAGGCGTGAGCCACCCTGCCTGGCCTGTCTTCTTAAAATAAGTCTGAGAAGGCTTTAAAGCAAGATCCTGTTCCTATTACAAAGAGAGCTTTATTTTAGGAAGACCTGGGCAGCTGTTTGAATATCATTTTAGATCTCATGTGAAGCTATTAAATATGTGGGTAAAAAGAACAACTTTCCTTTTTTGAGATTTCTCTTATTCACAGATTTGGTATTTGAGTTTGGGGTTTAGTTTGTTGTGATGCATTCAGTGTGGCAGAATAGAAAGAAGAATCAGAAATTGAATAACAGTTCTAAGAACCTGTATCATTTTTCATCAGCAATAATTTTTAATGTAACAATTTATCTCTTCCAGATACTGGATTTTCATTGCCTTTTCATTTGTTCACACTTAGTCCTATAAGAATAAAAGCTAGAGATTAGTGCATAGTGATCCAACTGAAAAAGCCCTAAAGTGGGGATTAAAATGCATCAGCTTTACCCAAACTCATAATGGAAATAGCAAGTCCCTAGATGTGGATGATGTTGTTTGGAGGCCATGAGCTCTCACTAATTAGCTCTGAGATTCTGGACCAGTTGAACTAAAGGGAACTTTCTGTGGTTTTTGACTTATGAAGAGATCTAGCAAAAGGCGGGAAACTTCAAGGGCCCTTTAAGACACACCTACTAGCTGGGTGGGGTGGCTCACGCCTATAATCTCAGCACTTTGGGAGGCCAAGGTGGGTGGATCACTTGAGGTCAGGAGTTCGAGAGCAGCCTGGCCAACATGGTGAAACTCTGTCTCTACTAAAAACACAGAAATTAGCCAGCTGTGGTGTCATGTGCCTGTAATCCCAGCTACTTGGGAGGCTGAGGCAGGAGAATCACTTGAACCTGGAGGGCGGAGGTTACAGTGAGCCAGGATTATACCACTGCCCTGCAGCCTGGGTGACAGCCAGACTTTGTCTCAAAAAGCAAGCAAACAAAAAACACCTACTGAATGCCTGAAAAGAGGATTCCTTTAGTAAGCTTTTTAGTGCTTTAAAACGTAATTTAATAATATGCTATCAGGGATTTTTTTTAAATAGTCTGGGTGGGGGGGTGCTGAAAAATGAGTAGGGATTTATTGGATGAAATAAGATTGACTTGGAATTAATCACTCGAGCCTGGCTGACAAGTTCACAGAGAATGGGTTTAGAAATTTTCCATATTTTTATGTTACCAAATAAGCCTCAAGATTTACACTAAAACTATTGGTAAAGTACACTGAGTTTTGTCATTGTAGTTTGTTTCTTCAGGATTCACATCTTAATATTCAATTCTGTAATTTTAGGTATTAGCTAGAGAAGACATTGATGAAGCAGTATGTGCAATATTATTTAAAGAAAATTCCATTGTGAAGGTAAGAGTTGGCTCCACGCTGCATTCTACATATGTTCTAGGGGAGCAAGAGTGTGCAGAACAACATGGCCAAGAGTTTATGTCACCGTGATCCAAGAGACTCATTTTGCAGGAGTAATGAGGATCCTCTAATTTACTTGTTTGTACTACATGCATCTGAGGCCATGCCCCCTTCTTGCAGGATCACTAAAAGGTCCCTGATCCCACTTGGATCTGTCCTGAAGGGATCTGAGAAGTTGTTCCAATTGCTCCTTCTCTTCGTCCTGGTACCGAATAGAAATTCTTTCCTACTCACACTTGCCTCTTTCTCATATGTTCCCACATTGCAGTAAAACCACTAGAAACAAAATAAGCTTTTAAGGGTTATGACCAATCAGTAACTGATAGTCACTACGAAATTAGCTTAAGGGGCATTTAATTTCAATGAGAGAGACGGAGTTATAATAATACTTTGGGAGGCTGAAGCAAGAGTATTGCTTGAAACCAGGAGTTTGAGAGTTTGAGACCAGCCTGGGCAACATAGTGAGGCCCTGTCACTACAAAAAAATTAAAAAATTAGCCAGACATGGTGGCACACGCCTGTAGTCCCAGCTACTCAGGAGGCTGAGGCAGGAGGATTGCTTGAGCTCAGGAGGTTGGGGCTGTAGTGAACTGTGATCATGCCACTATACTCCAGCCTGGGTGACAGAGTGAGACCCTGTCTTTTAAACAAAAAAGAATAAAACTTTGACATTTGAATTGTGATTTACAATGTGTAAAGAAAGTGCACATAAATTCCCATTTAAGCATCCAAAGAGGTAGATGGGATTACCTCTCTTTCACAGGCCAGAGAGAGGTGTCAAAGTCTAGTGCGCTTTCTACTCTACCAGTTTTGTCCCAGACTTTCCTGATGGTGAAGGCTAGACACAGAGTGGGTGACCAGGGAATGCTTGGAAATCCTGAAAAAGAAACAAGAGTTTCATGAGTTAGGAATAGCTTAATCTGATTCATGAGTTAGATGTGGTTAAATCTGAAGGCACAGTTATGGTTTAGAAGTTTATATGAGTTCTTCTGCTCTGTGTTCCCAGCTTCTCTTACTGCACTTTATTCTGTGCTTCAGTTATCTTATACTGGGACTTTGCAACCCGAATGTGGCTGAGAGCTTAGTAGAGAGAACAAATTTTTTTTTCCCCCTTACTCGAATGATAGTAAATGAAACATTTCTTTATAATTTATTTTCCTTTTTTGTATCACTTCACTAGAGATTGGATATGTATTTTCAGCATGTGGATACTTTTAAGGAAAGAAGAAAAGAGATGTTACATAAAAAATGGGTTGAAAATGTTGCAGAGCCTCTTCAGCAGAGAATTATGGAAAAAGTAATTTCATATAAAGAGCTTAAAATGAAACGAGAATGTTGAATATTATTTACAGCACAGACATAAAATGGTACTGATGTTTTATTTTTCAAATAGAGTATAATTTGAAGAGTTGGTCTAACAATTTCACTGGTTATACAAATAGTTTCCAGCTTATTTTTATATTTAAGATGAGTTCATTGAATTGTAACACACGTATTGCATTCTTAAGCCTGAGGTTGGAGGGGATAGGAGTGTTGATTTGGAACTAGATTTATCAGGAATGATTTTTATGTAGACGTTAATGGAGTTACTGTGGCTTAAACCATAAGGGCATTTACTTCACAAGAAATTAAGAGGTAGGTGGTCTCGTGGTGGGTTCTGACAGCATAACAATGTCAGGTTTTTTCCTATTCTGTTCTGCTATCCTTAGTATTTTCAGTTTATCCCCATCATTCTCACATTTGCCTGATGGTTGCTTATAGCTCCAGACATTAGGTCTTCATTCAGGGCAGGAGGAAGGGGTAAGGAATGGTGCCAGGGGCCTCTTCTCTTACCCTACTCCTTTGCAGGAAGCAAAAAGAGTCCCCAGAGGCCCCTAGCCAACTTTCCCTTAGGTCTCATTGGCCAGGACTGGGTCATGAAGCAAGTCCTAGCCATAAGCAGGGCCTGGAAAGCCACTGTGGCTTTCTCATCTCTCTAGTAGGAAGTGGGCAGAGGAGAATGGTATTGCATGGCTGACTTAGCCAACCAGTAGGTATTAGGACTAACAGTTTCTATACTCTGTTCTACAGTTTGGCTTTACAAAAATTTGGTTTCTTAATTTAGAGATTTTTTTTTATTTTGAGGTCAGCTCTCAGAATTTGGGTCTCTCTATTTGCAGTATCAAATACAAATCTGTTAGCTTTAGGTGTGCACTACTGGATCTTTCTTACCCCCACATATCTAGTAGATATCTAGAGTAGTGGCTGGGTGCAGTGGGTCACCCCTGTAATCCCAGCACTTTGGGAGGCTGAGGTGGATGGATTGCTTGAGTCCAGGAGTTCAAGACCAGCCTGGGCAACATGGCAAAAACCCGTCTGTACAAAAAAAAAAAAAGCCCAGGTGTGGTTCTGTGCACTTGTAGTCCCAGCTACTTGGGAGGTTGAGGTGGGAGGATCACTTGAGCCTGGGAGGCGGAGGTTGCAGTGAGCCATGATCGTGTCACTGCAGTCCATCCTGAGTGACAGTGAGACCCTAGAGTAGGTTAGCTGAAATATTAGAACATTTAAGTATATTTACTGAGCACAATTTCTGAATATTTACCTTAAATACTTTTTCCTACACACTCTTAAGGGGCAGAGCTCAAGATTGAATCCAGATCTCCAAAGTGCAAAGTCTTATATTTGTGTCCAGAAATGTGATTTCATGGGTATAGGGAGGAAGATCTTAGAAATGGCATGTGTTGAAGTCCAAGTAATTTTAAATGTCAGTAAAGTCGTTGTGAATCAACCATATGAGCTGGATTCCAAGAAAACATACATCTCTCAGGCAAGAGAGGCTGTGCTTAGAGTGGGAAGCATCAGAGTCTTGGTCTATCCTGTCCTTAACCTGTCATTCCTGATGTCACACTGTTGAAGGGACCCTCATCAGTTGCAAAACCTTTAGAAAAGAGTTGAGTCTTGACACCACTTTATAGGAAGAAAACTGGAAAGAGGTGGGGTATTTGGCCCAAGGAAATGACACGAGGGGGAATGAACCTTTTAAGTATTTTAAAGGCCGACATTAGCCGATGAATTAGATGTGTAGAACTAGTGTCTGTACCTGCAAGTTACAAGGCAGATTTAAACTCAACCTAAGGACGGACTTTCTTGAGGTTAAAATTACCAAAAAAAGTACCTGCCTCATGGAGCAGAAAGTTCTGAAAGGCCCATGGATGACTTTAGACTAAAGCTAGATGATTACTTCTCCCAGAAGGTGGTGGAGTCTCATTGCAGTCCAAACTACTTCAGCAGTTTCTTCCAACCCTTTGAAGCTATGCTTTTATATAAAAATGAAATGCAGTATTTGGCTTTTATAATATGAATCTTGCAAAACAGTTTGTATCTAGTGATTTTTCCCTTAAGTATATTTTATATCTGAAGGAAATTATATGTGAAGACCATTATAATCCTGAAGTATACAATCCCTTTTTAAATTTTTTTAAATTTTTCTTTGAGACAGAGTTTCGCTCTTGTTGCCCAAGCTGGAGTACAATGGTGTGATCTTGGCTTACTGCAACTTCTGCCTCCGGGGTTCAAGCAGTTCTCCTGCCTTAGCCTGCCAGGTAGCTGGGATTACAGGCATGTGCCACCATGCCTGGCTAATTGTTTGTATTTTTAGTAGAGATGGGGTTTCGCCATGTTGGTCAGGCTGGTCTTGAGCTCCTGACCTCAGGTGATTTACCTGCCTTGGCTTCCCAAAGTGCTGGGATCACAGGTGTGAGCCACTGTGCCCGGCCTACGATCCTTTTATATGAAGAAAAAGAAACCAAATTATGGAAAGGTAGAGCAGGTTTCTTTGGTTTTTTATTCTTAGGAGCTCTGGAGTGGGGGAAAACCTAGTCATTTTAGAAGTCTTGTAGTTATTGTCTATTTATTAAAAAAAAATCTACAAAAGCATTTCCTTTGAGTTTTAGAATAGGAACTCAAAGTAATTTAGACTCCTGTGGAATTTACACTGTGCACAAGGCATGGATACGTGTGATCATTTGTTCATTCATTTACTCACATTCAGCAAACTTGAAGCACAAGAAGGAGAGAGAGAGGTGTGGACAGCTTGTGCAGTGGAGCGTGGCGAGTGTCACAGAAGTCAGCACAGGGATTATGGGACGTGGGAGGGAACACTCCTTTCTACTGGAGATACAGGAAGGATGTCAGCACAGGCTGCCCGGGAGAGCTAATACTTGAGGTTATAATGAGTCTTCAGATTTTTAAACTGCCAATACAGGAGTTAAAATGGAGAAATGTAGGTTTCAGTTTTTCGCTCCCATGCAGCAGAAGTAGCCACCTGATATGACTGTTAATTTTTTAAAAAATATGTATGGCTCTGAAGATGGAAGTGGTTTCTTTTGCTTCTCCCAGAAAACCAAGCCAGGTCAGTCATATGAAGATGAACAGATTCTTCTGGTTCTGGGTAGAATGTCAGCATCTGGGGTGCTGGAGGCAGTACATATTATGTTGCCTAGTTTATTCAGTAATTGTTTACCTAGCACTTCAGTCCAGCACTGGGATGAGTGCTGTGGGGGAAATGGAGGGGAAAAATAGTCCCTCTGTCTAAGGCTTATCAGGAGCGGGAAGAAAAAATACTTCTGTATGTCCCTACCCTTTGACACAAACTCATAGCTCTGGTCACCTGACCCTCTGTTCTCACAGGCCCTTACGGACCAGTTGTCAGCTTCCCTAGGAGGCATGCGTCCTCCCAGGCTAAGTTAGCACTGCCCCTGCTCCTACAGGATCCTGAGAGGGCCCCTCTCAGGACTGGATTGTCACTGGATGACTAGGCTGTCTAGACCAGGAGATCCTTGAAGACAGGATCTAGCCTGGATGTGGCACACAATGGCAACACAAATATTTACTGGCTGATGCAATGACACAGTAGAGCGCTTAACAGAAGTGCGTCTCTTCTATCTGGGCGGCCCTCCCTCCCTCAGTTCAGCCATTTAAGGCTCTGTACGACATCCTCATCTGAGGTGTAGATTGGCACATTCTGGGGCCTTTCTTCTCAGCTGCTTTGGTATACAGTAAGGGCATACTTGAATGTTTAGGTCAGATTTTATTTATTTAAATTTCAACTTTTAGATTCGGGGGTACACATACAGGTTTGTTACACGGGTATATTGGGGTACGAGGTTGGGGTGCTGAGGTTGGGGTGCAATTGAATCTGTCACCCTGGTAGTAAGCAGAGTCCCGAATAGGTCGTTTTTCAACCCTCGCCCCCTCCTGCCCTTCCCACTCTTGTAGTCCTCAGGGTCTATTGTTCCCATCTTTATGTGGGACACATTTTAAAAGCTTAATACAGACTGCACTCTGGTACTCAAAGAGTCTCATTTCTCTTGTAGGTTACAGTCCCACCATTTGTTGATCCTCTGTTTCAAAGACAGCAAGAGGTGGATGAAGAGAGGAGAACTGGTCTTCAGTGTGAGACAGGTGCTTTGTGATCACTGGGCCTCATTTTTTTGAGACTGCTAATTGTCCAGTGATTTCTCACTCCTTCAAGAGCAACTGGAGTTCTTGAAGAGTGTTGATTTCGATTTTTTATCTTCCTGTAGGAAAACGACATTCCATAAAAGAACTTGAAGAAATAGAGAAGGCCAGGCTGCATGCCAGCTCGCCCTACTTCACTTTCACTTCACACTGTGTGATTCCAAAAGAGTGGCATAAAGCCTCTGCAAGAGCCAGGAGTAAAACTTACAAATACAGGTACAGATGAGCAGAACAAACAAATATTTGTTTAACTTGCAACTTACTTTATTTCCTACTGAAGCTCTTGTAACTAGTCACACTTTTGTCTTTTAGTAGTTTATAGTTTTATTATTATTATCATCACCTTTGTATTATGAAATATATGTAGAGGACAGAATAAAACATAAACAGCTTACCGAGTCCCTGAGTCAGTCCTGTGGAATCACCAGCCATTTCAAGAAAGGGAGCCTGCCCCCTCCCGAGACAGTCTTCTCCCTGCCCCAGAGCTCCCTTCACTTTATAAGTGTTCACCTCCTTGCTCTCCCTGTGGTGTTATCAACTAACTTTGTATCCTTAAACAATATAGTTTATCTTGCGTATTTTTGAATTTCATATAAACAGAACCTGAAAGCATTTATTCTTTTATGACTGACTCTTTAAAAAACATCTTTATTAAGATATAGTTTACAGGCCGGGCACGGTGGCTCACACCTGTAATCCCAGCACTTTGGGAGGCCGAGGCAGGTGGACCACCTGAGGTCAGGAGTTTGAGACTAGCCTGGCCAACATGGTGAAACTCCATCTCTACTAAAAATACAAAAATTAGCTGGGCATCATGGCAGATGCCTATAATCCCAGCTACTCGGGAGACTGAGGCAGGAGAATCGCTTGAACTCGGGAAGCAGAAGTTGCAGTGAGTCGAGATCATGCCACTGCACTCCAGCCTGGGCAACAGAGTGAGACACTGTCAAAAAAAAAAAAAAAAAGATACAGCTTACATACCATAAAATTCATCTGTTGAGGGTTTGTACATGTACAGTTCATTGTGTGACTGCTTTTGCTCACCATTATGTTTTTCAGATTCCTTTCTGTTGTTGCATATAGCTCCAGTGTATTAACTTCTGTTTTCTGATTATATTCCATTATATTTGACTATGCCATCATTTAAGCAATCCACTGTTGTGGACATTTGGGTTGTTTCCATATTTTGGCTATTATGAACAATCCAGTTTGGTATTTTCGTTTCCACAATCCACATTTGTTATTTATTTATTTATTTATTTTTGAGTCTGAGTCTCGCTCTGTCGTCCAGGCTGGAATGCAGTGGTGCAATCTCTTAATTTTGATATAGTCAAATATTTATAACTAGTGCTTTTTATACATTATTTTAAGATGTCTTTTCCAAAAGCTGTATGGCCTTTTTTTTTTTTTTTGAGATGGAGTCTCATTCTATCGTCAGGCTGGAGTACAGTGGCACAATCTTGGCTCACTGCAACCTCTGCCTCCCGGGTTCAAGTGATTCTCCTGCCTCAGCCTCCTGAGTAGCTGGGACTACAGGTGTGCGCCACCACACCCAGCTGATTTTTGTATCTTTAGTAGAGATGGCGTTTCACCATGTTGGCCAGGATGGTCTTGATCTCTTGACCTCAGGTGATCCACCTGCCTTGGCCTCCCAAAGTGCTGGGATTACAGGTGTGAGCCACCGTGCCTGGCCTGCTTTTATAGTTTTGCTTTTCAAATTTAGGCTTATAATACAGTTAGAATTGCTTTTTGTATGTATTTTATGTGGGGCCCAATTGAATTTTTTCCCTTTAATGATACCCATTTTCCTCAGTACCATTTATTGAAAATATCATTTCCCTGCTGTTCTGCAGTGTAGACTTTTATACAAATTCACTGCTGTTATGTATACTTAATTTCCAGGTTCTCTATCCTAGCCTATTTGTTTACTATAGCTTTTTAATGAGTTTTGATACCTGATAGAACAAATACACCAATATATTTTATAATTAGCTCAAGTTTCATGTAGACATACACACATACAAACAAATAAAAAAGTAATGGCAAAAACCACAATTACTTTTACACCAACCTAATACTTGGGATTTTGATTGGGATTGCATTGAATCTGTAGATCAATTTGGGGAGAATTGACATCTTTACAATTTTGAGTCCTCTAATCCATGAACATGGTATATATCTCTCCATTAGTGTGGGTCTTATTTTATGTAAAGGAGTGGTTCTTAATCAAATTGATTAAGAAGCTGGCAATGTTTGGAGACATTTCTGGTTGTCAGGGGCATGGGGTTCTACAGGCATCTACTGGACATAGGGCAGGGATGCAGCCAAATATCCTACAACAAAGAATTACTCAGCCCCAAATGTCAGTAAGTACTATGGATAAGAAACTGTCTAAAGGTCTTGTAGATCTTTGTTTAGATTTATTCTTACTTATTCCTATTTTATTATTATATATAATTTCATTTTCTAGGTAATTGTAATGTATAGAAATAAAAACGATTTCATATGTTGAATTTGTATTTGGCAACCTTGCTAAACTTTATTATGAATTCTGACATTTCATCTATAGAGTCTTTTGGATTTTCTATGTACACAATATTCTTTTTATTTTTTTGAGATGGAGTCTCGCTCTGTCACCCAGGCTGGAGTGCAGTGGCATAATCTTGGCTCACTACAACCTCCGCCTCAACCTCCTGAGTAGCTGGGATTACAGGTGTGCACCACCACACCCGGCTAATTTTTGTATTTTTAGTAGAGATGAGGTTTCACCATGTTGGCCAGGCTGGTCTCGAACTCCTGACCTCAGGTGATCCACCTGCCTCGGCCTCCCAAAGTACTGGGATTACAGGTGTGAGCCACTCTGCCCAGCCCACAATATTATCTTCTAATAAAGAGAATTTTATTTCTTGTTTTCCATTCCTTATACCTTTTATTTCTTTTCCTTACCTTACAGTACCAGTTAAGATCTCTGGCACAAAGTTGAAGTGGTGAAAATTGGCTTCATTGTATTCTTCTTAAACTCAAAGGGAAAGCTTTTGGTGTTTTTTGTGTTTTACATTATTTTTAGATTTCCATTAGTAAGTTAAGGAAGTTCATTTTCTTAGTTTGCTATCAGTTTTTTTTAGATAATAGATTTTGACATATATTAATTTTTATGCATTTATTGATATTTAATTTTTTCTCCTTTGTTAATGTGGACATTTTTATTTTATTTTATTTTATTTTTTGAGACATAGTCTTGCTCTGTTACCCAGGCTGGAGTGCAATGGCATGATCTTGGCTCACTGCACCCTCTGCCTCTCAAGTTCAAGTGATTCTCCTGCCTCAGCCTCCTGAGTAGCTGGGATTATAGGCGCCCACCACCACACCTGGCTAATTTTTATATTTTTAGTAGAGAAGGGGTTTCACGTTGGTCAGGCTGGTCTCAAACTCCTGACCTCAAGTGATCCGCTCACCTTGGCTTCCCAGAGTACTGGGGGATTTACAGATGTGAGCCTCTGTGCCCCGCCTGTGGAAAATTACACTGACTCATTTTTAAAATATTTTATTACAAACATTTTCAAATGCACTGAATGTAGAGAGTGCAACACATTCCTATGTACCTATCACCCAGGTTCAGCAGCCATCAACATTTTGCCTTTCTCTCTCTCTCTCACTTTACCCCACTTTCCCTTTTGTGCTCACAGTTTTGTGGGAAAATTCTAGGTCTCATGTCATGTCATTTATACTCTACCATGTACCTCACAACAAATAAACAACAGAAATATTGTTTACAGTTTTCATAAATGTGCATCTGCTCATGAAAAATCTGTTTGCTTTAAGACATCTTTATTTCCCTCCTTTTTTCAACTTAACTTTATTTTTCGTAACAAATTTTATGTTCACAGCAGACGTGAGTGGAAAGTACCTAGAGAGTTCTCGTACACCTCCTGTCCCCCAACAAACACAACCTCCTCCACTGTTGACATCCTGCACCACAGTGGTACAAACTACATTGACATTATCACCCAAAGTTCATAGTTTACATTAGGGTTCACTCTTGATGTTGTACATTCTATGCGTTTTGACAAATGTACAATGACATGTATCCATCATTCTGTTCCAGTGTCACACAGAATAGTTTCACTGTCCTAAAAATTGTCTCTGCCCATTCATCTCTCTTCCCCACTAACCCCTAGCAACCAGTGATTTTTTTTTTAGCTGTATCCATTGTTTTGCCTTTTACAGAATGTCATATGGTTGGAATCATACAACATTTAGCCTTTTCGGACTTCACCTTCATTCTTAAAGGATGTTTTCAGGATTAAGAATGTTAGGTTGGCAGTTATTTTCTTTCAACATATATCTTGTTGTCTTTTACTCTTTCAATTGAGAAGTCACTTGCTAGTCTTACTGTTGTTCCTTTGAAGGTAATCTGTCTTTTCCCCTGGATGCTTTTATGATTTTCTCATTGTCTTTGATTTTTTGTAGTTTTATGTGATGTTTCTAGATGTGGATTTCTTTTTATTTATCCTACTTGGAATTCATGGGTCTTCTTGAATCTGTAGGTTGTCTTTAGTTAGTTCTAGGAAGTTTTCAGTTATTTTCTCTTTGTTCCCTCTGCCATATTCTCCTCTCCTCTCTTTTGGGTACTCCAGTTAAACATATTTTAGATTTTCTCACTGATCCCCTGTCTCTGATCATTTTTGTATATTTTCTATCCTTTTTGTCTTTCCATGTTTGGTTCCAGATATTTTATTATCTCTTCTGTTGTGTCTGTTTGTTGTTAAACCCATCCTTTGAATTATTATTTTCAGTTATAGATCTAGAATTTCTATTTGATTTTTTTAATTTTTATTTTTAGAGCTGGCATACATGTGCAGATTGTGCAGGTTTGTTACACAGGTAAATGTTTGCCTAGGTGATCAACCCATCATCTAAGTATTAAGCCCAGCATGCATTAGCTATTTTTCCTAATGCTCTCCCTTCCCCCTCCCCACCCCTCCTTGATTCTTTTTCAAATAGGTTTTGGGAAATGCTGTCTGTACTCGGGGCCTGGAGAGTTTCTGTCCTCCATTGAGAAACCAAGCACATTGCTTGACTTGCCTCTTAGCGGGAGGGTGATGTTGAGAACAAGGTTAAATACCCACCTGTCAGGACATCAACCAGACCCAAAGACAAAAATCCACCAAAGATGCTAGAAGCACAGAGAAATCAGTCTCTACCTTGGTACTTAATATTGGTGACCTGGTACTTGAAATGCTCCCACAGAGGAAGGTAAGAGTTGGAGATTGTCAACTCATTCCTGAAGGCTCTCGCCTCTCTGGAATTCTTTTTAAAGCTGTCCAGTGATTTTAAAATTCTTAATTTTGGTAGTAAATTTTCTGCTTTTTCTTCTCTATTTATTTCAGCAGGACTTTTAGCCTGTGCAGACTTCTATATTCTACACAAACAGGAGGTCTGTTATACACTCTCAATATTTTGTTTTCATTCCCCATCCTGAGTTTTGTTGGAATAAACAGTGCTACTTTGTTTATGCTTACCCTAGTGATTTGGAAGTTTTATGTATTATTTCTGGTTTTATGGTTCCTTTATCATTTTAACAAACATTTTTATTTAAACACCAGTAATTACATAGCCCCCCCACCCCCACAACAAGACAAAGGCTTCATGTTGCTTTGTTGGCGTCATCTCCCCTCTGGCTCCTCCGCTGGTATTCTTCCTTCAGGCTGGTCTCCTCCAATCCATTTTTCGCCCAGCAGCCAGAGTGGTCTTTTTAAAGTGATCAGCACTCCTCCACTGGAAACCCTTCAGTGCCATTCCCCTTATGACAAAGCCCAGGCCCTCAACATGGCACATGAGGCACCATCTGGGCCCTACCACCCTTTCCGGCCTCATCACAGAAGTCCCATCAACTTAAATAAAAGGAAGATTGATTAACCATGAAAACCTCTGGGTCAAGTCAGCACATTCTTAACTCCCTGACCTGCCAGGCTGTTGCCTGCCTTTGCTCCCTCTGTCTGTCACTGGCCATTCCAGTGCAGGCAAGAGGGCAGTTATCACAGGGACACAGAACTCTCCAGCCCCTTACTGGCCCTTTCCTCCATCAGCAAGCCCCTTGAGGGCAGGGACTGCATCTTACTATCTTGGTGGTCCCAGCACTTAGCTGGAGCATAGTAGATCATGAATAAGTGGTTGTTGAATGAATTAATGGAGGAAGAAAAGAGAAGGCTTATTTCCCTCAATAGGGCTAGGCTTCCTGGGGCAGAAATGGTGGCAGCCCTGGTGAAATTCCTCCGGGAGGACACACCCAGAGGATGCCTCGTGTGGCTATTTGATGAAGTAAGAAAAGGACTTGAGAGCACGTGGCGAGGTGAGGCAGAGACAGTTTGATGACAAAAGCCAGAATCCTTCTCAAAGGAAAGGCGGGAGGGGGCTCGATATGTTAGAGAGCATTGGTATGTCATGGAAGCCAAGCCAGGAAGGGAGCCAGGCTGCTCGGGGGACGGACTGGGAGGCTGGAGCCAGGCGCTCGGGGGACTGACTGGGAGGCTGGTCCCTGCCTCTTTGGGGCTATGTGGCACTCACCATTACTTCTCTTCGTGAACCTGCTCTGTTTCTCTTTCTTTGCACATGGGCTTTCTGTGCTTTCCTGTGAGTGCTGGCAAGTGGAGGCGCCGTTCTGCCTGACTTTCTGGTTTGAGCACTCAGAGGCTGCCTGGAAGCCCCTTTGTCCCAACTACAGCCATAGGGATTGAAGCTCTGGACCTGGTGCCTCAGCCATGGCTGGGGAAGGGTCCCCAAGTCACCACCTCCCTAGGAATTGGGCCAGCAGAGGTACGGACAGGGCAGGCAGATTGAGGGACAGCCACCAGTGATGGCTGGTCAGTCGTTCCTTCTCAAAAGTGACGATTGAGTTCATTGCATTAATCTTCGGAAACTATTTGATGGTACAATTCCATCTGTGCTGAATCGAGACAATTTTTTCTGCTTTTCTTCACAGTCCTGAAAAGCTCATCTATGCAGACAAGAAACAGAAAAGAAAAGAGAAAAAGACGGCCGACCTAAGTCAGGCTGCGTTTGAAAGGCAGTTCCTTTCCTCAAAGCTCAGCCAGAAGAACAAAGTGGGTGAAAGAAAGGGTCTGGTGAGCAGAGGCCTGGGGCGGGGCTGGCATGCAGGGCTTTGCAGCACCCACGAGCAGCACATACTGGTTCCAGAATGAGCCACCGCCACAGCCCTCCCTGTCAGACAGGCACCCAAGGGCGGAGGAGGCATGGCCCAAGAAGAAGGGTGTGAAGAGGAGGAGGGAGAAATGGCGGTGGCCTCAGGCTCAGCACTGCAGCTCTGACAGGGCCCCTCGGGCGGGGAAGCCTTGCATGAAGAAACTCAGACAAGTGGTAAATGTGGGACCTGGACCCCACTTTCCGGAGACATCCTGTCCTTCCGAGGTGAGGGCCAACCTGGCCACAGGGGCTTTTCCCCCTGAGATTTCTTCAGCGCCTTCGCCCGGGCCTTTGCCCTTCTGCCACTTTCCTACCATTTTCCACTTACTCCATCCAAACTGCACCAAAGATGGTGTTCTCCTTAGTCCACACACAACTGGTGGGAAGTTTTTGAAATGAAATTTATACCAAAAAATTAGGGCAAGATGAGATTTTTTGATATTTAAAAGGTATTTTTATATGTAGGAATTTTCTGAGTATGGATTTCTTATCCAGAGCTCATGGTTCATTTGACACAGTTTTCAGCTCCTGGTCTATTTCCCCTTCCATTCTCTCCGCCACGCCCTGTGCCCTGAGGCCTGAGGCGCAGGACCCTCCCAGGGAAGGCCTAGGGGGCTTGGTGGGCCACCGCTCAGCTCAGGACCTGACAGCGTCACTCCCACCCTCACCACCACACACACAGGATGGGGGACTGCTGCTGCTTTCCAGCCTGTGAGCCTGGATAGGTATTTTGTGACCCAGCTCCTGCTCAGTCCCATCGCTGTCCCCGGTCTCTCCAGGGAGTAAGGGATTCTCCGTCTGTGGTAAGTTACCTGTGACTCTTCAGCAGTTTCCTCTGAGCATAATTATATCTGAGAGCACAGGGAGCTCCTCATTCCATGTATTTTTCAAATATTCAAGATGTACAACGTGATGATTTGCTATAGGTATTCATTGTGAAATGTTTGCCACAGTCAAGCTTGTTGACATACCCACCAGCTCACATTTACTGTTTTCGTGTGTGTGGTGAGAATACTCACAATCTACTCTCTGAGCAAACTGCAAATATATGTTATTAGTAACTGTAGTATCTGTGTTGTCCATTAGGCCTCTAGAACCTACTGTTACTCATGGAGGGTCTTCACTATGAGTTGTTCAGGTCCTTGGCATTTTGAACAAAGAATTGACCAAAACACACAGAGTAGCAGAGGAATGAAACGCGGGAGCGAAGCAGCGAAAGCAGAGATTTATTCAAGACAGAAAGCTCTGCAGGGTGGGAGCAGACCCAGCAAGGGCTCAAGGGTGTTAAGTTCCCTGTTTGAGGTTCTTATCTGCTACCCCTTATCTGGATGAAGGATTTGGTCCCTGGCTAATTAAAGGCTGAGGTGAATTGGCGCTCTACGCAGATGAAGGGATGGTCCCTGTGTTGGCTGCAGCTAATCCAGGGCACTCTCCCTTTCCATCTAAGACGTTATAGGGAGAGTAGCCTTTGATCTTTTGCTGCTTGGCTTGGGGAGATGGGGTTTTCTGTTTGGTTCCGCTTTCAGAAGTGTGTGTTAATTGGCCTCAGGTTCCCTGCCCCCAGACCCAGGTGTTTTCCTTTTGACCCAGCTTTGGGAAGGCAGCTCGAATTGGCCTTGGATTTCCTGCGCCCAGACCTTGCTGTTTTCTCAGACCTTGCTGTTGTCCCTGTCTCCAGACCCTGTTCTCCTGCCTCAGTACTTACCACAGAAAGTTTGTACCCTTTGACCAACACCTGTCACCTCACTGCCCCCACGCCCTGACTCTGGTATCCACCCTTCTACTCTGGATGGGTTTGACATCTTTAGATACCACATATTGTTACAGGAAAGGGGTCCTGATCCAGACCTCAAGAGAGGTTTGTTGGATCTCAAGCAAGAAAGAATTCACGGCCAGTCCACAGTGCAAAGTGAAAGCAAGTTTATTGAGAAAGTAAAGGAATAAAAGAACGACGACTCCATAGAGCAGCCCTGAGGGCTGCTGGTTGCCCATTTTGTGGTTATTTCTTGATGATATGCTAAATAAGGGGTGGATTATTCTTGCCTCCCCTTTTAGACCATATAGGATAACTTTCTGACCTTGCCATGGCATCTATAAACTGTCATGGCGCTGGTGGGAGTGTAGCAGTGAGGGTGACGAGAGGTCATTGTCGTCGCCATCTTGGTTTTGGTGGGTTTTGGCTGGCTCTTTTTTATTAGCCTGTTTTATCAGCAAGGTCTTTATGACCTGTATTTTGTGCTGACCTCCTATCTCATCCTGTGAGTTAGAATGCCTCACCGTCTGGGAATGCAACCCAGTAGGCTTTAGCCTTATTTTACCCAGCTCCTATTTAAGATGGAGTTGCCCTGGTTCACACACCTCTGACAATATGAGATCAGGCAGTATTTGTCTTTCTGTGCCTGGCTTCTTTCACTTACCATAACATCCTCCACATTCACCTATGTTGTTGCAAATGACAGGACTTCCTTCTCTTCTCAGGCGGGTTATTGGTCCATGGTATGTGTACCATATGCATTTTCTTTACCAGTTCATGTCAGCAGACACTTAGGTTGTTCCCATTTCTTGGCTATTGTGAATAATGCTGCAGTGAACACGGGAGTGTAGATATCCCTTCAAGATGGTGATTTTATTTCCTTTGAATATATGTATATACACCTGGAAGTGGGATTGCTGAATTGTATGGTCATTCTATTTTTAGTTTTTTTTGGAAACCTCCATGCTGTTTTCCGTAATGGCTGTAGTGATCTACATTCCACCAACAGTGTACAAGGGTACTGTTATTTTTTTTTTTAATTTTATTATTATTATACTTTAAGTTTTAGGGTACATGTGCACAATGTGCAGGTTTGTTACATATGTATACATGTGCCATGTTGGTGTGCTGTACCCATTAACTCGTCATTTAGCATTAGGTATATCTGCTAATGCTATCCCTCCCCCGCTCCCCCAACCCCACAACAGTCTCCGGAGTGTGATGTTCCCCTTCCTGTGTCCATGTGTTCTCACTGTTCAATTCCCACCTATGAGTGAGAACATGCAGCGTTTGGTTTTTTGTCCTTGCGATAGTTTGCTGAGAATGATGGTTTCCAGTTTCATCCATGTCCCTACAAAGGACATGAACTCATCATTTTTTATGGCTGCATAGTATTCCATGGTGTATATGTGCCACATTTTCTTAATCCAGTCTATCGTTGTTGGACATTTAGGTTGGTTCCAAGTCTTTGCTATTGTGAATAGTGCTGCTATAAACATATGTGTGCATGTGTCTTTATAGCAGCATGATTTATAATCCTTTGGGTATATACCCAGTAATGGGATGGCTGGGTCAAATGGTATTTCTAGTTCTAGATCCCTGAGGAATCACCACACTGACTTCCACAATGGTTGAACTAGTTTACAGTCCCACCAACAGTGTAAAAGTGTTCCTATTTCTCCACATCCTCTCCAGCACCTGTTGTTTCCTGACTTTTTAATGATCGCCATTCTAACTGGTGTGAGATGGTATCTCATTGTGGTTTTGATTTGCATTTCTCTGATGGCCAGTGATGATGAGCATTTTTTCATGTGATTTTTGGCTGCATAAATGTCTTCTTTTGAGAAGTGTCTGTTCATGTCGTTCACCCACTTTTTGATGGGGTTGTTTGTTTTTTTCTTGTAAATTTGTTTGAGTTCATTGTAGATTCTGGATATTAGCCCTTTGTCAGATGAGTAGGTTGCAAAAATTTTCTCGCATTCTGTAGGTTGCCTGTTCACTCTGATGGTACTTTCTTTTGCTGTGCAGAAGCTCTTTAGTTTAATTAGATCCCATTTGTCAATTTTGGCTTTTGTTGCCATTGCTTTTGGTAATTGAAGTCCTTGCCCATGCCTATGTCCTGAATGGTAATGCCTAGGTTTTCTTCTAGGATTTTTATGGTTTTAGGTCTAACATGTAAGTCTTTAATCCATCTTGAATTAATTTTTGTATGAGGTGTAAGGAAGGGATCCAGTTTCAGCTTTCTACATATGGCTAGCCAGTTTTCCCAGCACCATTTATTAAATAGGGAATCCTTTCCCCATTGCTTGTTTTTCTCAGGTTTGTCAAAGATCAGATGGTTGTAGATATGCGGCATTATTTCTGAGGGCTCTTTTCTGTTCCATTGATCTATATCTCTGTTTTGGTACCAGTACCATGCTGTTTTGGTTACTGTAGCCTTGTAGTATAGTTTGAAGTCAGGTAGTGTGATGCCTCCAGCTTTGTTCTTTTGGCTTAGGATTGACTTGGTGATGTGGGCTCTTTTTTGGTTCCATATGAACTTTAAAGTAGTTTTTTCCAATCTGTGAAGAAAGTCATTGGTAGCTTGATGGGGATGGCATTGAATCTATAAATTACCTTGGGCAGTATGGCCATTTTCACGATATTGATTCTTCCTACCCATGAGCATGGAATGTTCTTCCATTTGTTTGTATCTGTTCATTGAGCAGTGGTTTGTAGTTCTCCTTGAAGAGGTCCTTCACATCCCTTGTAAGTTGGATTCCTAGGTATTTTATTCTCTTTGAAGCAATTGTGAATGGGAGTTCACTCATGATTTGGCTCTCTGTTTGTCTGTTATTGGTGTATAAGAATGCTTGTGATTTTTGTACATTGATTTTGTATCCTGAGACTTTGCTGAAGTTCCTTATCAGTTTAAGGAGGTTTTGGGCTGAGACAATGGGGTTTTCTAGAGGTACAATCATGTCATCTGCAAACAGGGACAATTTGACTTCCTCTTTTCCTAATTGAATACCCTTTATTTCCTTCTCCTGCCTCATTGCCCTGGCCAGAACTTCCAACACTATGTTGAATAGGAGTGGTGAGAGAGGGCATCCCTGTCTTGTACCAGTTTTCAAAGGGAATGCTTCCAGTTTTTGCCCATTCAGTATGATATTGGCTGTGAGTGTGTCATAGATAGCTCTTATTATTTTGAGATAGGTCCTATCAATACCTAATTTATTGAGAGTTTTTAGCATGAAGGTTGTTGAATTTTGTCAAAGGCCTTTTCTGCATGTATTGAGATAATCATGTGGTTTTTGTCTTTGGTTCTGTTTATATGCTGGATTACATTCATTGATTTGCATATGTTGAACCAGCCTTGCATCCCAGGGATGAAGCCCAGTTGATCATGGTGGATAAGCTTTTTGTTGTGCTGCTGGATTCAGTTTGCCAGTATTTTATTGAGGATTTTTGCATCAATGTTCATCAAGGATATTGGTCTAAAATTCTCTTTTTTGGTTGTGTCTCTGTCAGGCTTTGGTATCAGGATGATGCTGGCCTCATAAAATGAGTTAGGGAGGATTCTCTCTTTTTCTATTGATTGGAATAGTTTCAGAAGGAATGGTACCAGCTCCTCCTTGTACCTCTGGTAGAATTCGGCTGTGAATTCATCTGGACCTGGACTTTTTTTGGTTGGTAAGCAATTGATTATTGCCACAATTTCAGAGCCTGTTATTGGTCTATTCATAGATTCAACTTCTTCCTGGTTTAGTCTTGGGAGGGTGTATGTGTCCAGGAATTTATCCATTTCTTCTAGATTTTCTAGTTTATTTGCGTAGAGGTGTTTGTAGTATTCTCTGATGGTAGTTTGTATTTCTGTGGGATCGGTGGTGATACCCCCTTTATCATTTTTTATTGCGTCTATTTGATTCTTCTCTCTTTTCTTCTTTATTAGTCTTGCTAGCGGTCTATCAATTTTGTTGATCTTTTCAAAAAACCAGCTCCTGGATTCATTGATTTTTTTGAAGGGTTTTTTGTGTTTCTATTTCCTTCATTTCTGCTCTGATTTTAGTTATTTCTTGCCTTCTGCTAGCTTTTGAATGTGTTTGCTCTTGCTTTCCTAGTTCTTTTAATTGTGACGTTAGGGTGTCAATTTTGGATCTTTCCTGCTTTCTCTTGTGGGCATTTAGTGCTATAAATTTCCCTCTACACACTGCTTTGAATGTGTCCCAGAGATTCTGGTATGTTGTGTCTTTGTTTTTGTTGGTTTCAAAGAACATCTTTATTTCTGCCTTCATTTCGTTATATACCCAGTAGTCATTCAGGAGCAGGTTGTTCAGTTTCCATGTAGTTGAGCGGTTTTGAGTGAGTTTCTTAATCCTGAGTTCTAGTTTGATTGCACTGTGGTCTGAGAGACAGTTTGTTATAATTTCTGTTCTTTTACGTTTGCTGAGGAGTGTTTTACTTCCAAGTATGTGGTCAATTTTGGAATAGGTGTGGTGTGGTGCTGAAAAAAATGTATATTCTGTTGATTTGGGGTAGAGAGTTCTGTAGATGTCTGTTAGATCTGCTTGGTGCAGAGCTGAGTTCAATTCCTGGGTATCCTTGTTAACTTTCTGTCTCATTGATCTGTCTAATGTTGACAATGGGGTGTTAAAGTCTCCCATTGTTATTGTGTGGGAGTGTAAGTCTCTTTGTAGGTCACTAAGGACTTGCTTTATGAATCTAGGTGCTCCTGTATTGGGTGCGTATATATTTAGGATAGTTAGCTCTTCTTGTTGAATTGATCCCTTTACCATTATATAATGGCCTTCTTTGTCTCTTTTGATCTTTCTTGGTTGAAAGTCTGTTTTATCAGAGACTAGGATTGCAACCCCTGCCTTTTTTTGTTTTCCATTTGCTTGGTAGATCTTCCTCCATCCCTTTATTTTGAGCCTATGTGTGTCTCTGCATGTGAGATGGGTTTCCTGAATACAGCACACTGATGGGTCTTGACTCCTTATCCAATTTGTCAGTCTGTGTCTTTTAATTGGAGCATTTAGCCCATTTACATTTAAAGTTAATATTGTTATGTGTGAATTTGGTCCTGTCATTATGATGTTAGCTGGTGATTTTGCTCGTTAGTTGATGCAGTTTCTTCCTAGCCTTGATGGTCTTTACATTTTGGTATGTTTTTGCAGTGGCTGGTACCAGTTGTTCCTTTCCATGTTTGGTGCTTCCTTCAGGAGCTCTTTTAGGCCAGGCCTGGTTGGTGACAAAATCTGTCAGCATTTGCTTGTCTGTAAAGTATTTTATTTCTCCTTCACTTATGAAGCTTAGTTTGGCTGGATATGAAATTCCGGGTTGAAAATTCTTTTCTTTAAGAATGTTGAATATCGGCCCCCACTCTCTTCTGGCTGGTAGAGTTTCTGCCGAGAGATCAGCTGTTAGTCTGATGAGCTTCCCTTTGTGGGTAACCCGACTTTTCTCTCTGGCTGCCCTTAACATTTTTTCCTTCATTTCAACTTTGGTGAATCCGACAATTATGTGTCTTGGAGTTGCTCTTCTCGAGGACTATCTTTGTGGCATTCTCTGTATCTCCTGAATCTGAATGTTGGCCTGCCTTGCTAGATTGGGGAAGTTCTCCTGGATAATATCCTGCAGAGTGTTTTCCAACTTGGTGCCATTCTTCCCGTCACTTTCAGGTACACCAATCAGACGTAGATTTGGTCTTTTCACATAGTCCCATATTTCTTGGAGGCTTTGTTCGTTTCTTTTTATTCTTTTTTCTCTAAACTTCCCTTCTCACTTCATTTCATTCATTTCGTCTTCCATCACTGATACCCTTTCTTCCAGTTGATCGCATCGGCTCCTGAGGCTTCTGCATTCTTCACGTAGTTCTTGAGCCTTGGCTTTCAGCTCCATCAGCTCCTTTAAGGACTTCTCTGCATTGGATATTCTAGGTAGCCATTCGTCTAATTTTTTTTCAAAGTTTTTAACTTCTTTGCCATTGGTTTGAATTTCCTCCTGTAGCTCAGAGTAGTTTGATCGTCTGAAGCCTTCTTCTCTCAACTCGTCAAAGTCATTCTCCGTCCAGCTTTGTTCTGTTGCTGGTGAGGAACTGCGTTCCTTTGGAGGAGGAGAGGTGCTCTGCTTTTTAGAGTTTCCAGTTTTTCTGCTCTATTTTTTCCCCATCTTTGTGGTTTTTGTCTACTTTTGGTCTTTGATGATGGTGACGTACAGATGGGTTTTTGGTGTGGATGTCCTTTCTGTTTGTTAGTTTTCCTTCTAACAGACAAGCATCGTGTTATATATAAAGTTTCGGTGCCACAAAAGAAATACCACTCGAATATTAAGATTTTCTTTTTAATTCTCAGCAAGGCAAGGTACTTCTAATTATTGTTGTTGACTAACTAAAATTGGTAATGGCTATCTAAATTTACTGTCCCCATTGTACTCTTTGAGACGGAGTCTCACTCTGTCACCCAGGCTGGAGTGCAGTGACTGATCTCGGCTCACTGCAAGCTCTGCCTCCCAGGTTCACACCATTCTCCTGCCTCAGCCTCCCAAGTAGCTGGGACTACAGGTGCCTGCCACCACGCCCGGCTAATTTTTTTTATTTTTAGTAGAGGCGGGGTTTCACTGTGTTAGCCAGGATGGTCTCAATCTCCTGACCTCATGATCCGCCTGCCTTGGCCTCCCAAAGTGCTGGGATTACAGGTGTGAGCCATTGCACCCAGCCCCAAGGCAAGATACTTCTATGTAGAAGGGTGCGCCCTTACAGATGGAGCAATGGTGGGCGCACACTTGGACAAGGGAGGAGAAAGGGTTCTTATCCCTGACGCACGTGGCCCCTGCGGCTGTGTCATTCCCCTATTGGCCAGGGTTAGACCGCACAGGCTAAACTAATTCCAACTGGCGAATTTAAAGAGAGTGATGGGGTGAGCACTTTGGCGGGAGTCCGGGCAGAGCAGGTAGCAGGTAATTGGAATGAGTTAGGGTGGAGCAGGTGATCAGAATGAGTCAGGGTGGAGCAGGTAATTGAAAAAGGTTGCTTTACGAGGAAGTTTGAAAGTAGAAGCCAAATAATTGAACATACTGACATATCCTTTGAAAATAAATGTAGAACTCTTATCTAACAGTCCCATACAAGGGAAGGCTTGTTATCTTTCGACTTTTTCATAATAGCCAACCTAACAGGTGTGAGGTGACATCTCATTGTGGTTTTGATTTGCATTTCCTTGATGATTAGTGACGTTGAGCACCTTTTTATATACCTGTTGACCATCTGTACATTTCTAGGGAGGCAGGAAGGAGGCTTTGGAAAAATCTCTGTTCAGGCTCTGTCCTCATTTTTAAATTGGGTTACTCACTTTTTTGCTATTGAGGTGAATGAGTTCCTTATATATTTTGGATATTAACCTTTTATTTGATACATGGTTTGGAAATATTTTCTCCCTTTCTGTAGGTTGCCTTTTTGTTCGCTGTGCAGAAGCTTTTTAGTTTGATATAGTCCCACTTGTTTATATCAGATCTTAATGTGACTGTGGTCAGTTCTACCCTTAATGGTTGGGTGGGCTACACTAGTAGACCCAAGTGGACTGAGGTTTAAATGCAGTAGCAGTTAAGTTTTGCTTATGTCCTGGCACTGTCCCAGTGGGTCAGCAGGCTGTCCCTCTCGGTGCGGTCTTTCGGATCCTATCTCATGGGCCTGTGTCATCTTCAGCACCTGGCTTCCGAGGTTGCACTGGGAACTCATTCCTATCAACCTGAAAAGGGAAGAGATCGTGGATGAGTTCTTCCTGGGAGTCAGGTGTATGTGGGCCGGGCTGGAGGCGGCATGTCATTTCCTCTGATGTTCCCTGGGCTGGACCCAGTTCCATGTCTGTTCCTAACTGTAGGGTGAAGGAGCATGGGGAAAAGTATTCCATGGCTGGTCTGCCTACAATGGCAGGAGAGCATTTTGTGGACAGCTGGTCATCTCTGCTGTACATACCACAAAAAGATTAGTTATTTGTGGAGTTCAAAGATACAGACAGCCTTGTCTGAGAGTTGGCAGGAACCAGACAGAGTGAGAGAGAGAGAGGTAAAGCAAGAGGGCCGGCTGGAAACCTGCCTGAAACGGGAGTCTTAGCTCCAGCAGGAGGGCTGAGTGTGGGGCAGAGTCAGCGGGGGTCCTCGCTGCACCTGTAAGCCCCGCATCCCTGCACCACACTTAGTCCTTCTCTTCTGTCACTAGGTTTTAGGAACCAGACAGCAGAGACCCCGTTCCTGGGCTGCTGGGGACAGCCAACAGCACAGGGGTCCCCAGCCTGTGGGAAAAAGAGTGATGACAGCTGAGGTGCTGGGGCAGCACCTGGCCTCCCTGCAGAAGGTGGCCAGGCAGGGCCACCCTTGGTACTGAAGCTTCGTGGACTTGACTTGGCAGTGTCTGTACAGCAGTTAAAATACTCTAAACATATTTTCTTCCTCCAGAAGTGGAAATAAATTGCAAGAAATACCCAAATCACAGGAGTTCTTATTTATTGAGCTCCTGTTGTGAACCAGGAACCCTGTGAGGTACTTTGTTCACTGAAAAGTTTTCGCAGTAAGATAGTATTATCCTCTCCCAACACACAATGCTCTGAGGCTTGGTGAGCTGCTCAGAGGTGGCAGTCCCCTAGCTCAGAGGTGGCAGTGTTCTCTCAGGCCAGTCCCTCAGGTGCCACACAACACATTTATCCCCTCCTCACATGCACTCAGACTTGGTCATCAAATTGCTCACAATTTGGGTTGCCTTTTAAGAGAGCGGAGTGCCCCTCCCCGGCCATGGCACCTGTTCCTGAAGAGCACTGGAGGGACCTGCTGAGGGGGGTTCTCAGCAGAGGGGAGATGTCTGGGCGCATGAGGCACATATGCCAGGTCCTGCTGGGGTGGAGGTACATAGACTCAGGCGGTACAGAGACTCAGGCGGTACAGACTCGGGGGTATGGAGTCTTGGGGTACGGAGACTCAGGTATGGAGACTCGGGGTATGGAGACTCGGGATAGAGACTCGGGGTATGGAGACTCAGGCACACCCCACATCCTCCCAAAAGTCAGGCTTACATTTGATTTCTAAAGGGGCAGGTGTGCGTTCCTAGGCGTAAGGGGACAGCTGGAGTGGCCGGGTGCGCCGATGCTCCGTGTGGTCCGTGGTTTCATAGAGGTTGTCTGACTCTGGTCCTGATGCTCCTCTGCCCTAAATCTGACCAAAAAGTCCTGTCGTATCTAGCAGTGGAGAAATGGCACTCGCCACAGTGAGGATTACGGTCCCCGCAGCCCTGGGAACACAGGACGGTTCCGTAGCTCTCGTTCCCAGTAAGCCTAGAGCTGGTTTTGAGTCATCAGGGCAGCCTTGCTGCTGACATCAGCCAGGCTGGCCTTGTGACCAACAAGCCCCAACCCTAGAGACAGCCAGCAGTTCACTCTGCTCCGTGAGACTGGGCCTGACTACCCACTTTCCCACAAGCAAGCAATATGTTCAGTTGTTTAGGTTTCATATATCCAGTGACATCTCTTACCTTTTTTATGTCTATATTTTAACCAATCAGTGCCCAGGATCTATACCTGAGTGAGTGATGGATTTTTAAATCTGAATGTGCCGGTTCTGTTTCCCAGTCCTTTGCCCAGCAATTATGTTTAAACAGAAGCGGGGGCTAGGGTGGAGGCCCAAGCCCTTGGGACATTTGAATCCTTCCTTGTTCCTCTAGTTGCCTGGAGACCTGCTCCCTTAGAAATCAGGGCCCTAGCAATTCAAATGATTCCTTCAAAAGGACTTATCTGGCCGGGCACAGTGGCTCATGCCTGTAATCCCAGCACTTTGGGAGGCTCAGGCAGGCGGATCACTTGAGGTCAGGAGTTTGAGACCAGCCTGGCCAACATGGTGAAACCCCGTCTCTACTAAAAATACAAAAATTAGCTGGGTATGGTGGTGGGCGCCTGTAGTCCCAGCTACTCAGGAGGCTGAGGCAGGAGAATTGCTTGAACCCAGGAGGCAGAGGTTGCAGTGAGCTGAGATCAAACCACTGCACTCCAGCCTAGGCGACAGAGTGAGACACTGTCTCAAAAAAAAAAAAAAAAAAAAAAAAAGGGGGGGGGCAGATCTTTTCCCAGTTTTTACTGGGTTTAGTGTGTAAGACCTGTGTGCATTTCTTTGCTGTAAGTTACCCTCAGGTTATCACTCGATGAGGCAAGCTGAAGGAGGGTCAGTAGCTCCCACAGAGATCATCCATTTCACCCATTAAAGAAACCCAGCCCCAGAAACACGAGGTAGATTCACCAAAGTCACAGAGCAAATTAGTGGCAGAGTCAAGATGAGGCCCTGGGTCTCCTGACCTCATCCTCACTCTGTCCTTGGTTTTCCCACGTACCAGGAAGGAAACTTGGTTTCATTATAGGCAACTTGTGAAGGTACCTTTTAAGAGCCTTTCATCTGGCTGAGAAAATTAAAAAGAAAAAAAGCAGCTTTCATATAGAAAGTAAATCAGTCAGACTTTGACGAAGTTCCATCCATAAACATATGTCTTTATTCTCTTTCTGTACATATGGGCAATGATAAAGCTTAAAGATGCATGTCCTAAGAAATATGCAAAAACAATGAATTTACATAAATAATTTATACTTCAGAAAATTAAAGTTGAAAAATATTTTCCACATTATTAGAGTTCACAGTATTTAAATCAAGCTTTCCCACTTATACTCCAGACTATATTGTCTTAGCAGAGAGTGATAAAATCTAATCAGGAATAAAATGATCAAGTTTCTGTTTTTATTCAGTGCACGAGTAGACGCTATTTCAGTATCAGGCCGCGCCAAGTGTCGAGGCTGCAGCCTCTCATCCTGACCCTTCCCCTCCTGAGTGGCTGTGACCCAGCAGAGGTCACTGGCGTGGAATGGTTACAGCGTCACCAAACCACTCCACGGTGGACACATTCAACCGAGCGGTAACATCTGGTGGTCTGATGCCTCATTTCCAAGTAATACTTTTTATAGCCCTGAAAATGGAAACCTTGGCATCTAAACAAACAGAGCTGAACATGTGAACACTAGGACAAGGCACTGTACTATGGGGTTTGGTTTCTTTATGGGAAAGGTGTTTGCATAGATTGCTAGCTATTTAGTGTGCAGGAAAACAGAGCCCCCAGCGTGCATGGCTTTGTGAGGGGTGAAGCTGCATGGTGCTCCCTCAGCCCCAAGAGAGCGCAGTCTCTCATTCTCCAGCCCCAGCCTTGTGGGCTGTCCCGCTGGTGCTGTCCTTTAGAACCCCTACAGGAGAGTTTTTTGCTCAAAAAGCTGCAGGTCAAAACGGACCCAGACCTCCCCGGTGGGGACCTCATGCAGCAGCAGTCGGCGGGTCATAGGGCCTTTGCTTTCCTGTTCTGTTCGAATTTTTGCCACTGGAATTTCAGTACGACCCAGGAAATCTGGTGAATAAACACAGGAGAGTCAGAAGTCTTTCTTCTTTATAAAATCATTAAAGAGCTACATCCGGAAGAAGTGGATTCATAAAACCTTCAAATCTGAAACAAGGAACTTCTTTTGGCTCATGGCTGTTGAATGTCGTGAGTGGGTGTGTGGGGAATGATGGCAGGTTTGTGTGTGAGAAGCTGCCACATGGAATTCAAATCTCCATTCTGAGAATGCTCCAGGAGTGGTGTTCACGTCGTGTGTGTAGGGAGTGATGGGTCAAAGACCTGAAACACATCTCAGGCCACCTCCTCCCCTGAGGAAGGCCACCCACCTGCTGCCAAAGCGAGATGACACAGGCCTGTGTCACTTCCCTGAAGTGGCATGGGGTCTGCACACAGCTGAAGCCCCTAGATCTGGACTCCAGGATCTAGGAAACTGGGAAAGCCTTTAGATCCCCTGGCTGAGCGACACTTACCATCTGGTGAAAACTGGTCTCTGTCAAACAGGGTGAGACACAGCACGTCTTGGTAGAGATCCTTAATAAAGAACTGGCAGTTAAAATTCCACTTGGGATTGAGTGTGTCCTGGATGGTCCTGGTGGTGTAGCTCTGGGAGCCCATGCTGATTTCACAGTATGGGTTGCTCTTTCCTGAACAAAAACAAACCACAGACACATGTGGTGCATGCAGGTAAAACGAAGCGACTGACAGTGCCCTCCCTGAGCAGAAGCAGGATTCCAATAATGGGTCACTCGAGACCATGGCAGCAGGAGCCGCTGCCTGGGGCACCATATCCCTGTGGTCTAGTAACAGGGTCTCCAAGTTCCCAGTGCTGACAGCAGCATTAACTGGGGAGTGGCCGAGAGCTCCACCGCCAGGACCACTCCGCACGGAACAATCCTGGGTGAGTGTCACTGCAACCTGCTGCATGCTTCCTCGGCGCAGACACACTCGGGAAGGCGGGCACTGGCACTTACTGGGAAAACAGTGATAAGAATATTGGTCCAATATGCGCATTTTAGTGGCACTGGACACACTGTTAGAAAGCATTCCTTTATTCAGTGTTCAGAAGAGTCATCAGTGGCTGGGCGCAGTGGCACTTTGTCAGTGACAAAGTGCTGTAATCCCAGCACTTTGGGAGGCCGAGGCGGGCAGATCACTTGAGGTCAGGAGTTCGAGACCAGCCTGGCCAACATGGTGAAACCCTGTGTCTACTAAAAATACAAGAATTTGCCAGGCGTGGTGGTGCACACCTGTAATCCCAGCTACTCAGGAGGCTAAGCCTTGAGAATCACTTGTACCCCAGAGGCAGAGGTTGCAGTGAGCCAAGATCGTGCCACTGCACTCCAGCCTAGGTTATACACTGAGACTCTGTCTCAAAAAGTCATCAGCAAAAACTGGGGCAGGGCAGTTATGTCTGCTGAATGAATCAAGGCAGTATTTACCATTTGGTTTGCAGGCTTTTAATTCTGTAGCTTCAATGACATGCACCATCAGGCGCCCAATGCCTGAAGTCTTTTGGGAGCGGGCTACAAAAGAGGAAGACAAGTCTCATTAATCTCTTCTCCAAGGATGCAGACCCTGTCTTTCAAACCAACCATAACACTACCGGCTCCCTGTCCCCATCTGCCACTGCCCTGGGCCCAACAGCCCAGCATCTGGCTGCCCTGTGCCTTTCCCCAGGCTGTGTTGCCTGCTAGGAAGCCCCTGCTTGCTCTTTCTGCCCTGCCTGCTTTCTCTGCCCGTCAGCATCCTACTCATCCTTCAAGATGCAGGTCTGATCCCACATCTACCTCCCAGATCCCTTCCCTCCTCTGCATCCAGTATCCCTCGCTTATGAGCAGCCCACAGCCTGCTGGGTCTGAAATCGTGTGTAATGTCTGTCTCCTCTGCCAGACAGGAGCCAGGGTAGAGCATGGACTGTTTCGATCATCCTTATATTAACCCCTCAATTGCCTAGCAAATAGTAATATTAATAAAATAATACATGGTATTTGTGCAGCACTTAATAGCAGCTAACATTTACTGGATACTTACTTTGTGTTAGGCATGTGCTAGACTTATGTAAATTATATTATTTAAACTGCATAATTACCTGATAATGTAGCTCCCCATTTTACTGATGAGAAACACTGAGGCTTAGAAAGGACTGGAGTGTGATCCACTCAGAGCTGCTAAATGGCAGGGTCAACATTTAAACATCAGATACCAAAGTCCAGGCTCAGTTAAGCCTAGCACAGAGCCTGGCACAAAGTAATTGACAAATGTGGGAAGGACTGAACGCACGGACGATGCACAGCAACATATGCAGATGCTGATGGGAAGCAAAACTCAGGCAGAAAAACCGGATTGACATCTTTGGCCAATTAAGAGATCATATGCGTTATGAAATGATCAATCATTGATTTTTCAACAGCAAGCTTTTAAAGTACCATTAAAATAACACTAAATTAGCAAAAGCTGTTTTAAACATACCTTTTAGGAGTATATAACAAAATGGGGGAAACCTGAATAAAAAAACACATAAAGAGCTGCAACTATAGCAGCCAGGAAGCTGGTGGGAGGCCCAGGCAGGAGGGCAGGCTGCATGGGGGGGCCCGGCGGGAAGGAAGGTGGAGATGCAGGGGGCCGGCGGGGAGGAAGGTGGAGATGCAGCTGGCTCAGAGCACAGGCCCCCTGTGGGGTGGAGGCCACAGGCTGGCCTGGCACAGCTGGAGATGCAGCAGGGAGGTTGGGGCCTGGCATTCATGTGGAGGCTGGAGAAGAATGTGGGAGCTCTGGTCTGAAGGCCACGGTGGGGCAGGGTGGGGTGGGGGGTGCTTTACAAAGACCATTGCGGCTCCACTGAGCAGGTGAGTGATCTGTGCCATGAACACAGAGGACATCACCGGTGCAACAAATCTGGAGCCCCACTGGCATAAGTCACATGCTGGCCCCGATGTGGGAGGGAGTTGCCTTGAGGGAGCTTATGGCCATTAAGTGAGAAAAGCAGGGACTGAGAGGGCGCAAGCAGAGGCAACAGAGGATGAGCGCCCGGAGGATGATCGCAGCCTCAGGACAGCGGGGGGTCCAGGTAGAAGTCACACTGGTTAGGGCAAGAGGGTGTCATGGAGGAGGCTGTGTTTGACGTGGGCCTTGAAGGATGGGAAGAATTTAAGGTGAGGGCAGAGCACTTGAGCTGGAGGGGGAGCTCACATGGGAAGGCCAGGCAGGGCAACAATGGGCTGCTCAACTAGGCAGCTGGATGGGCCGGGCACAGGAAAGAGCTAGGGATGGGGCTGGGTGGCAGGTAGTAGTGGGGATGGGCCCTGAGTGTGGGGTAAGAAATGTGTCGTTAATTTGGGAGGCAATAGGGAAGATACTTCAGCAGGAAGAGGTATAAGAGCAGCTCTGGAAAAAAGAATACTCCAGAAATGAAGAGGATGGGTGGCAGAGAGGAAAGAGAGCCTTGTGCTGCAGCCTGGGTGGGAGATCGGGGGCCTGTGATACGGGGACAGGAAAGGGCGATGGGAAAGTGGCGAGGGAGGAGGACTGCAGTGCAGCTGACCAGGTGTGAGGTGCCAGGGAGGGGCCTGGGTGGCCAGGGACCACACTACTGTCCACAGAGGGTCCCAGGAGGAGCTGCTGCTGGAAGGAGGCTGGTGGTCCCTTGGGAAAAGCCGATGTGTGATGTGGGAGCAGCGGGGCAGGTGGTTCTCTGGAGGGTGCTGTTCAGAGGCGCGGGCTTGGGAGAGTGTGGCTAGCCTGACCCTGAAGCTGGGGGTCGGTGGGGTCCCCGAGGGAGAGCGCTACAGAGGTCGGGGAGAGGCCTGGGCAAGGGTGGAAGAAGAACTGGGAAGGCGGCCATGGGGTCCAGAGGGAAGGCAGCGCCTCAGTGACTGCCATCAGTGCAGGGAGCTGGGGCAGGGAAAGTGAGCTGAGCCACTAACTAGGCCACTGGTGTCACTGGTGGGGACAGGACGTGGACTGAAGTCTGGTGAAGTGAGAAGGGGGAGGAGGCAGGGGCAGAAGGATGGGGAGAGGGCAGACTTAGGGTCTAGGCCCCCTGGCTGCAAAGGGAGAGGGTGGATGGCAGGCCCTAGAGGAGGGTGAGGAGGAGCAGTGGCTGCTCAGGAGCTGAAGGGAGACAGACCACAGGTGTGGCATGTAATGGAGCACCACAGCCCAAGCAGAGGTGAGGTGAGTCATGGAGAGAAAGGAGTGGAGAAGGTGCAGTGGAGTGGGGGGGATAGAGGTGGTGCAGAGAGGGAGGTCCCGGAGCTGGCACTGCCAGCCCGTGTCTGTGTGGGCAGGAGCCCCAGGGAGGTTTGCAGTAGTAGCTTCAAGAGGGGAGGGCTCTCTGGTCTGATCCCGCAGCAGGTCTGGTCTTTCAGACCCGTCCCTATATCATCAGCCTGACTGCAGGAGCAGTGGCCGGCATTCCTAGGGCCCCTGGGGGCTGCGTCCCACCCTCCGGGCACCCTGATACCTTGGTAAGCTTTCTCACGCTTCTTCTTCTCGGTGTCGATGTACTGCTCAGACGCCGCCTTGATCTTCTGCACCCAGGCGGTCCTACGGGAGAAGCAGGGGCAGCCGTTGGCCGCATCCCACCCTCACAGGTCAGCGTGGAGCCCCAGAGCTCTGCACATGTTCTTCAGTCTTTTGCTAACCTCAACTTTCACAAGTTTCCTATCAAAGACCTGATATTAGTCAACTGAAAGATGCTTATGCTAATGGAGTATGAGAGCTGGTAGTGACCCTTCTTGGCTGACCACAAAATGCCAGGCACTCGCAAGGCGCTGGGACCTGGAGACAGATGATGCATTGGCCCCACGGATGATACCTGTCACGAGGGGTTCTAGCGCACACAGAGGAGCAGCAGCACCCCCCGGGTTGGCGCCGCGGAGGCACTGTTGGAGCTGCAGCCTGAAGGAAGCTGGGAACAGCGGGGATGGCACCCACACAAGGGCGCCTGAGGGGCGAAAGTCTGCAGGTGGAGGGACGAGGGCTGAGGCCTGTGGCCCAAGGAGGCCTCGGAAACCAGCAAAGCACAGTGGGCTGTCGCCTGCGGGCAGCCCCTGCAGGGACTGTAGCAGGGCCTCAGGTGCTGATCTGCCATTTGGGAAGGCTGCTGAGTGGTGTGGGGAGAGACTAGAAGCCGGGAAGCATGTTAGGAGGCAGCTGCAGTGACCAAGGCCTACCATGGGACTGGAGCAGAGGGGATGTGTTAAGAGAGGTTCAGGATACAGAATTAGTGGGGCTTAAGCACGGCTGGAGATGGGTTTATGGCAGAGGGAGACGTCCAGGCCTTCTCCCAGAGTTCAAGGCAGGCCACACATGGTCAGGACTGACCTCTCATTAATGTTGTCTGTTCGGAGGGTGTAGACCCGATCAATGTGGGAAATGTGGAAGACAGGCTCATCGCTGGAAGGGTCTGTGGGCAGTTTCACCAAGACTTCATTCAGGAAAATGGGCTGAAAGAATTAGGGCCAAAACACAGGCTGTGAGATGGGCTAGAACACTCCACCCGCCTATGTCCAGAGAGAGTTCTGTTTGTTCTGAAGAGCCTTGTTGAGAAGGAGAAAGGGGTCTAGCGTCTAAGGTCTTCTACACAGAACAAATGAAACCTCCATTTGTAAGAACAATGAAGCCTCCATTTCTGGAAAAGTCATTATCGAGGTGGGTCAGGTGTTGGGACTGGGTGGGGACAGGAGCTCCAAGCGCCCATGACGGCTGGTGCAAAAGGCTCTCTGCTAGCAACGCTGGTGCTGTGCTGGGGCTCGGCTTACAGAGACCCAATGCTGAATGCACACAGTGGTGAGCCCAGGTGTCACGCTGGCCAGGAGGAAGCCAGAATCTCAGCTGGAATCTGGCTGATGGCCTGTGGCAGGTGGGGAGTGCCCAGCTGCATGGGGCCCTTCCCGTGGGAAGCAGCAAAGGAAGCACGAGCGATCTGGAACCAGGTGAGGAGGGTCCCGTAAGGCCAGCTCAGGGTCTGCCAGGAAGGCCTTAAGATAGAGGCAACACCTCATTAGGCCCCTGATGCTACCCCCAGACGCGTGATACTCACCGTTTTATACATTTTGAATTGAGCATTGGACTTCGAGCTGAAAAGTTTCTCAGAGCCAGAGGAAACAGCAAACTGCTTGACCATGTAGGTAAGAAGCAGGAAGTCATTGAAGAGGAATCCGTGCAGTTCCTTGTTGCTCTTGGTCTTGTATAATTTCCCACTGTGTAAGAGCTTCCGGGGCCCCAGGCAGTTGGTGAGAGAGTTGAAAATAAGTTGCTTAAAGAGAAAGAAAATTTCACTTTTTAAATCCCGGCACAAACCATCCAGTGCCCCTGAGAGGCCAGTGCCCTGGGCCTGAGGATACTGTGGTGGAGTTTTCTAGGTGGGAATGTGGCTAGAATCATTCACTTTGCATGAAAGATCCTTAAATACATTACTCTTCAGAGTCCAAACTGGCCCAGTGAAAATCATTACTTCTAGCCACAGAACACTGATTCTACCAGCTGAATTCAAAGAACTCAAAACAAAAAATCCCAGTGTTCTCTCCTTAGGAGAAAGGAAGATGACAATCCAAGAAGGAATGCCCTTCATGCCTGCAATCCCAGCACTGTTGGGAGACAGAGGCGGGAGGATCACTTGACGCCAGGAGTTCAAGACCAGCCTGGCCAACATGGTGAAACCCCAGCTCTACTAAAAATACGAAAATTAGCTGGGCATCGTAGCAGATGCCTGTAGTCCCAGCTACTTGGGAGATGGAGGCCAGAGAATCGCTCCAACCCGGGAGGCAGAGCTTGCAGTGAGCCGAGATGATCTCGCCACTGCACTCCAGCCTGGGCAACAGAGTGAGACTCCGTCTCAAAAAAAAAAAAAAAAAAAAGAAAAAAAAATGCCTTTGCAGGGGCAGGGTGGTGAGTCCACGCAGGCTGCCTAAGGTGCAGACTGTCCACGTGAGGGAAGGCTCGGAGCTGGTTCCCCACCCAGAGCCTCCCTGGAGGCGCACGGCTTAACCACACAGGCCTGACCTCCGCGAGGCCTTCACACTGCACGTGCGCCTGGATCCACTCCAGTCGGTCCGAGTTTTCCTTCTCCCGAACTCCCTCATTCACTTGAGAGCACAGCTCCTCTGCCCGCTCGAGGGCCAGCTTTAGGGAGGAATGGTCTGCATGGCTCTCCGGGGTGTTCTCCAGAATCTGGAAAAGAGTGGGCAGTGTCACATGGGGGAGCTGCGTCTCTCACCTGCCCACCTGGACCTTCGCAGGACCGCTCCTCCAACCCCATGTTATGGACTGCTTCCATGCCCTGGAAACGCGGCGGTGAACAAGACGACACTTTCCGCCCTTGAGAAACTCGTACTCCCACAAGTTCTTGGGGACACAGGGACAGGTAACGCTGCTGTGACAAGGTGACAGTGCTAAACGGATCAAGTGCTCTGAACTGTGTGGGTCTCTGGTTGCTCTCCGACTGGCTCCCGGTAATAGGCGGGAGCCTCCCGACTCCTTCCGAAATTTAAGCCATGTAAGGGTGCGCCCTCCTGTATAAACTGGCTGCAGCTGTGGTAAGTGTGAACTTGCTGAATAGCAATGGTTCATAACAATTTTGGGGTCACTGATCCTTTTGAAAAAAATCTGATGAAAGCAATGACTCCCATGCCACAGGAAAAATACAATAAAATCACATTGTCAGCATGTGGAAGAAATGCATTCTGTTCATTCTGAAGCGATTTCAAACGACGCATGCTGCAACTGTGAACGCGCAGAGGCCAGAATACAAACGTGTGTGGTCCCTCCAGAAATTAGGAGCCATCACCAGATGCCCCGTCTGGACTCTCTCACTCTAGTCAGATGAGTGCACAGTCCTTCATTTACAATTCTAAAATGCAGAACAGCCTGAGAGCCTAAAGTTTTTATTCAGTACCCATTTGGTGGCAAAATCTGACCTAAACAGAAGAGATATATTTACTTACTCTTACAGTGATTGTTCTTATGTTCCACTGTAGGAATATTAGTGTGTCTGGTTGTAAGTGCTACCCTAAGGCTCAGTTGAGGAGTCATATATTATATGGTATTTGAGCTACATTCCGAATTCTGAAACACATCTGGCCCCAAGTATTTCAATGAAGGGGCTGTGAACCTGCATTATGGTTCAGTTTAGTGCAGGCGTCTATCACATGAGGTCTATGTTGAGGTCACACAGCTAACAGACCAAAAGTCAAGGAATCATCAATAGAAGTAACAAGCTTATCATATTCCTGCTGCTTTTCTTTGTAAGTTACTGTAATCAATGGTTAATCGTGGGATAATCTTTTGTAAAGTCTGCCTTTTCCTTAGAAGGCTTATGGGCTCAAGAGGGCCCTATTGCTTATCAAAAAGAAAGCTGGAAGGAATTTTAGAAGGAATGTTGAAGCCGAATACAGCGAGGGACACAAATGAACTCTATTTATGATGTGCCAAGTGGAGCCTCCTGGGACATCTAGGAAAGGTGTTCAGGGTGGATGGAGGCAGATCTCAGAGGAAAGACTGGAGTCTAAGGTTACTCTGGTCTTTCTCTGGGTTCAAGATGGGCTCCACAACTGGAGACCTAGAGGGGCCTTTCCCTGCCTGGACAAGTATACTTATGACTTTGAGATGCTGGGGAGTTTCTTGAAAGGTGGGTGACAGGTTACCCAAGTGATACTGGATTCCTCTCTGATTTGCCCACTTCAAGGATTCAGCGTGTTTCTGTGCACACACACACACAGGCATCTGGTCCCCGGGACAGTGGGATCACTTGTGCGGTGTCACACTGTGTGCAGGGTGAGGTGGCATGCTCAGGGCTCCCTGAGGATCTGGCCTCTGTGGACCTCAGCGCATCCTGCTCCTAACTCAGACCCCACTGCCCGGCCTGCACACTCACACTTCTGATGAGCAGTGGGTAGCGGGTGATCCTCTGCATGGGTTTCAGCAGGAAGCTGGAGAGGGGCATTCCTTTACACCGCGGGTCAGATGCCAGCTTCTGCAAAACAACAGTGAGGCTCGTGAGGAAATCACAGCTCCGATCACAGGAAGCACTGGTCTTTGATCGCCTTTTAGATTTCACATTTCTTTTATTTATTTATGTTTCTCCCTGTCTTACTGTTTTAGAATTTTTTTTAGGTGAGTGTTCTATTTTTTATTTTTATTTTAAAATTTGTGTATATTCACAACATACAAGTGTAATTTTGCTACACTGATATGTCGCACTGTAGTAAAGTGAGGGGGCTTCGACTTTCTTTTAAATAACTCAGGATCTAAAATGATACCTATTAGGTTCACAGTAGGAATATCTCAGCTCATGTGCCAAGCCCAGCGGATGCTCCTCAGCTCTTTCCCATGACCTGTGCTGGGACTGTCCCCTGCCCTCTCTTCTCGGAGCTGATTCACACTTGACCCTCAAGACTCAGGCCCTGCTTCCCCTTGTCCAGGCTCTCCCCTGGGACACCTTCCCTCCTTTCCATGACCCTCCCTGGCCACCTTTAGCATACACCACATGTGCACCAGGTGATACAGGGAGAGGCATCGTGTTGCAGTGTCTCTATTCCACACCCGATTTGTGAACGCCAGGCCCAGGGCCCACATCCTACTTGCCTCTACCCCTAGCTCTGGTACACTGCCTGAAGACAGCAGCTGCTGCTCTAGGATGGCAGCTTTTAATGACTGAAAAGTACACTCACTGTAATCCACCTCATCATTTCCCCACTACTGGATATTTAAATTGCCCCCCTTTTGTTTTGGCCGTATCTATATAGGTTGCTGTCACAAGCATCTTCGTGCTTCTTATTTCCATATTTTCTGAGTCTTTTTAAAAAGTAACATTTTAGAACACAGCTTATTGCTAGATTTTGCTTTTTAAGGTAACCTATAGCAGGCCTTTCATGAGGCAGTATTTTTATTTATTTTGACTACTGTTACAATTGTGATGACTTTGAAATCCTATTTACATCATTATTTTAAAACATGCACATATACTAACAATTCTCAGTTTATCTCATTATTCTGATGAATGTTTAATTCTATGGTCTTGGTTTCCATGTTTCTTCCAGTTCATTTCGAGGCAACTCCCTGCCTCCTACCCTTATCACAAATCGAAGGGCTCTGTCCTCACTGCCTTATATTGAATCATTTTTGCATCCCTGAGATCATCGTAAGGAAAAATACGATAATCATTTATTGAATGCTAATAGTAATGTGTTGGTCTCTGAGTTAAAGTCCTTTAAAAGTACTGTGTGATAATCTCCTTTTATAGATGAGGGGACTGAAGGCACCCACATGTTAAATAACTTGCCTCTGGTCACACAATTAGACAGTGACGGGGCCGAGATTCTGAAGCCTGTCTTGTTCTAAGCATAGTATGCTATAGCCTCCTGAGATAATCCTATTTGGTTATGATAGGCTCTTCTTTTCATGTAATGCTTAATTTTATGAATTGTTACTTTAATTAAGAGTTTAACAGCTGTATTTGTAAATGATAGTGGGTTTTAACTTAAACAGGCCTTGGAATCATGGCTACTTTTGCTTTATAGAATGAATTAGGTGACCTTTTTACTTTTTCCTATGATCTGTAACAGTTTGTATAATATAGAATAATCTGTTCCTTTAGAGTTGGAGAGAATTCCCTGTTAAATCCATCAAGTGAACCCAGCTCCTTTTTGGGGTAAGTTTCTCAATTTTCTCCTTGGTGTATAGTATCGTAATAGTAAGATTTTCTATTTTTAAAAGATTTTCTATTCTTATTGAGCCAGTTTTCAAGTTTTAATAGAAAATTACAAATTTTGTTCATGTTTTCACATTTGTTAGCATGTCTTTTGGAATTACATGCACTTTAATTTAAGAGATCTCCTTACATCCATTCTGTTACTTGTGTTTTTTCCTCTTTCTCTATTAGATTCATCAGTTACATTTTATTACCTCTCTTCAATATAACAGTTCTTGGATATATTGATATAATTTGTGCTTTTTACCTTTATTACTTCCTCCATTTTCCTTTTCTAATTTCTATTCTCTGCCTAAACATCTTTATATTTTATTCTTACTTTCTACTCTTTTCTGATAATGAAAATATTTAAATTATATACTCTCCTTAAGTACTGATATGGCTGTTTAATATATCCCAATATGCAGTATTTCATGAACAAAAAAACCCAACAGGAAATATGAAAAAAAGCAAGAAAACAGATTTTACTTTCAATTTCCTCACCATTTTAACAGGTATAATAATAGTTTCTACTACTGAACAACATCAATGCAAATAACTTCTCAAAATATGACTTTCTATTATAATAACCTGTACGAAGGATGTTGTTGACTCATTACATTATACACAGTGTTCTCTCTCTGAGTACAGCTGTAGCTTTACTTCTCATGTTTAACTTGTGACGTGGCATCACGGAACTGATCCTTTCTTCTTCTGCTCATCAGTTTCTGGAAGCTTTGATGACATCTGTGCACACTTCTGGTATATTTACAGGATCACAGATATGCATTTTATATATTATCCTAATTCCTGGTATCGTCTTTGTTTCCTACTCTCATTTCCTTTTGTCCAAGTTTATTCATCTAGTTATTTTAAATTTTATCTTGTTGCATTTTATATATTTGAGTAAGCTATTTTAGGGCCGGGCACGGTGGCTTACACCTGTAATCCAAGCACTTTGGGAGGCCAAGGTGGGCCGATCACCTGAGGTCAGGAGTTCGAAATCAACCTGGCCAACATGGTGAAACCCCGTCTCTACTAAAAATACAAAAATTAGCCAGGCGTGGTGGCACATGCCTGTAATCCCAGCTACTTTGGAGGCTGAGGTAGGAGAATCTCTTGAACTTGGGAGGCAGAGGTTGCAGTGAGCCAAGATCATACCACTGCATTCCAGCCTGGGCAACAGAGCAAGATTCTGTTTAAAAAAAAAAAAAAAAAAAAGAGTAAGCTATTTTATACTCTTTCTGGAATAAGGCAGGTATTAAATGAAGGCAATTTACAAAATTAAGAAAGTGACATTCTGGTTGTTTCTTGGGAGTATAAAGTAGCTGATAAGTAAGTATGCTTAAAAAAAAACACTCTGCTATCAGATGGGGAAAAAATGATGGTCCCAGTGCCAGGAAAAAATCAGGTCTACATAAAGGCAACACAAAACAATCGGAAAATTCTCTGCCGTTTTGGTGTTTCCTTTGGAAACTGATGGGGATGCCCTTCTCCATTGCTGGGATTCCCTGTTGGGCTACTGTGTGCTGTTGCCTCCAGCCTCAGAAGGAGCCTGACCCGCAAGGCCCAGAATGGAATTACCTTTAAAAATTCTTTGAAATCTGTGTCTTCATCTGTCTTCTGCTGTAACAGAGCTGCTCCATTAAGCTGGCAGCTGCAGAACCTGATGTAAGCCTGCATGTGGGACAGCTCAGCGGCCAGGATGTCCCCAATCATCTGCACCGGCATCTTCTCGCCCCCGGTCTTCTTCCGCACCCGCAAAGCCCTGCCAAGAACACACTCTCATTTTGTGTTTCTAAGTGAATGACTTAGGTAATTAAAGGATGAATCCCATGGCAGACCAATGGTAATGATAACCAGTGAGCTACCTAAGAACCTCTGGCACTGGGAAGGAGAACTCAAGAGGAAGAGGAGATAGCTTGGGCCAAAAGCTCTGCTGGTCAAGCCAACCGGGGTGTGATGTCAGCAAAGAAAAAAAAAGTAAATAAAGTCCCTGCAGTTGGGTGGGCTGGGCACGGTGGCTCATGCCTCTAATCCCAGCATTTCGGGAGGCCGAGGCAAGAGGATTGCTTGAGCCCAGGAGTTCGAGACCAGCTTGGGCAACATAGTGAGACCCTGTCTCTACAAAAATGAAAAATTAGCTGGGCATGGTGGTGCACGCCTGTAGTTCCAGCTACTCCGGAGGCTGAGGTAGGAGGATTGCTTGAATCCAGGAGTTCAAGTTGGGTGCAGTGAGCTACGATCACACCACTGCACTGCAGCTTGGGTGACAGAGTGAGACCTTGCCTCTAAAAATAATAAAAATAAAAATAAATTTAAAAAATACACACCTGGGTAGCTGGGCATGGTGGCTCACGCCTGTAATCCCAGCACTTTGAGAGGCTGAGGTGGGTGGATCACGAGGTCAGGAGATTGAGACCATCCTGGCTGACACAGTGAAACACCATCTCTACTAAAAATACAAAAAATTAGCCGGGCGCAGTGGTGGGCGCCTGTATCCCAGCTACTCGGGAGGCTGAGGCAGGAGAATGGCGTGAACCCGGGAGGCGGAGCTGGCAGCGAGCCGAGATCGCGCCACTGCACTCTAGCCTGGGTGAGAGAGCGAGACTCCGTCTCAAAAAAAAAAAAAAAATTAGCCAGGTGTGGTGGTGGGTGCCTGTTGTCCCAGCTACTCGGGAGGCTGAGGCAGGAGAATGGTGTGAACCCAGGAGGCGGAGGTTGCAGTGAGCTGAGACTGTGCCACTGCACTCCAGCCTGGGCGACACAGTGAGACTCCATCTCAAAAAAAAAAAAATACACTTGGGTGTTTCAAGGCCTTTAGAATTGTTTTGGTTTCACCTTAGCTTCTTGGCAAAGTTTCTTTTGAAAGATTCTAACTTGTTCTTGGTTGAACCAAGAAGGAAATTTTCAGTCTGTAAGAGAAAAAAGGGAGCAGGAGCTGCAGGGGCCAGGTGTGGAGGCAGAGAGGCACTATCCCTGAGGGAAGCTGGGACTGCTCATCCTCCCTTGGGGGGCCTGTCCTCACAGCCACGAAGGATGGAAAATCACCCCAACAGTAGAACTTCACATGGGGATAGAGACTTAGGAGGCCACCAAACTAGGCAGTTTTATCTGCGCCGTGAGCTGCAGCTCTCCTCTGACTCTTCTGCCCTGCCAGGGTCAAGGACATCTTATATCTTGGAATCATAGATTGATATGTTGTTTAATGATTTAATTTTTTCTTTATCAAAATATTTTGTTATATTTCTTTACTTTCTTCAATACTTATGTATTTTACAGTCACAGGATATTTCATAAAATGATAATAAAATAACAAGCCTGAGGAAGCAGAAAGCAGTTGAAGTTCCTTTGCTAAGAAGCCCTTGCAGAGGGTTTTGTGTGAGTCTCAGTCTGGGGGCTTTGGGGTCAGCGGCAATGACAGGTGATGCTCAGGACTCACTTCAGCAGCTTTGTGTTGGACATGATGAGCTCCTTCCAGTTAACAAAAATCAGGGCCATCTCCCCTTCAGTGAGAAAGCCTGACTCTGCCATGCGTTTCTGAAAAACCTAAAGTCAAAACATAGAAAAACTAGTTAGCTTAAGTGTGGATACACAGCCTACGTGTGGTCTAAATCAAACAATGTCTTCATAAACTGAAACTAATCAGATCAAATAATGTCAACATAAACTGAAGCTAATCATCCAAATAAGCATACTTATGACACATTTTATACTGCATAATGTTCTTTCTTTTTGCTAGTGCAGCTCTTATCAAGGCTAGTTCCAAGGACTGAATCTAGTAATCTGGTTAAGAGGAGATTTTCAGATTTCTCTCTTAGGGATGTTATGAAGGTTAAATAAAGCCATGGGCATGAACACCTAGGCACTGTACAAGCTTGCAGGATTGAGGAAGCAGGCCATTGTTAGGTGGAGCATCGTAGAGTTCTAGACAACAATTTGTGAGACATTCAACAGGAGAACCAGAGTAACAACTTATGCCACCCCTAAGATAACTCTAAGCAGATGTGGGTTTTAGAAGTTGGCTGCTGAGGGAGAAATAGTAATACTCTACATCTGTATTACATAGCACTTAAGGATTTACAAAGCACTGATATGTACAAATATGCAGATGCTTGTGTGTGTGTACACACACGCGTGTGTGTTTGCAGGGTTCTCAAGTAGCTTCACGGGTGATGGAGGCGAAGCTGAGTCAGGTATTATTATTACCAATTGACCTATGAAGAAATAAAGGCTTAGAGGGAGACTTGCTCAAGATCACAAAGACAGAATATGAAAGGCCTAGGACTAAAATTCAGCTCTTTTTGATTCTAAATCTAAGTTTCAACTGCATAACTGAGATTCCTAGGGAATGACTTTAAACACCTTAAGGAAATAGAGAAGTTACCTGAGACACTCTTCTCATATGTCATCTTTCCAAAATGCCCATGACATGCTGCTATTAGAATCACTCAAAGCTCTCCACTGTCCGTGTGATAAGACACAGACTCCTCCTGGAGGTTCCAGGGCCTATGAGACCTGCCCCCTGCCAACCTCACCAGCCTGGCCCTCAGCTACTTCACACTCCAGTCACCCTGGATGGCCTGTAGGCCCCTGACTCCCTCCATACATGCCATCCCACTTCTGTTTCCTCCTCCTGGAGTAGCAAACTTGTCCTTGTCCAAAACATAACTGGGAAAGTTCTTCCTGGCTGGGGTGGTCACTAACCCCAGGTTTCAGCCTTACTGGCCCCACTGTACCTCTCTCCATCCAACAGGACTCTGAATTCCTGGAGGACAAGAACTTTCTTTCATCTCTGTTCTCTGGCATAGCCCTTTGCACATCGTGGTTTGTAATTCATGTTTACAGAGTTGAGTTGAACATGGATTCACAGAATTCAAGTACAAGTGCTGGGCACTCTCTAAAGAGAGTTTTACAGTTCCAAATCAGACTGAAGACACTAGGCCACTCCTGTGAGAGCAGCCCTGGAAAGACGGCCGGCCTGCTCGGAGGCTGCTATGGAGGGACAGGGAAGAGTCTGGCTGTCCATCTGTTTGTTTATTTGCTGATTCATTCATGCCCCTCTAGCCATCCATGTAGCTGCTTTGTGCCGGGCTTGGTGAGGTAAGCAGATGGGAATAAGCTGGTCAGGCCTCTGGGAACCTTCATGAGGATGGTCATAAGAAGGCCTCACCTGTGAATGGTGCTTTTCACCCAGAATCCTGGACCCAGACCTGATGCTTCACTCCTCAGAGTATGGGGCAAGCACCCGGTGCCTGCTCACCTCTGTCCTAGTGTTAGGGAGACCTCCACACCTACTTACAGTGCCTTAGGACTGGAATCTGACCAGCAGCAGGGCTGATCCTTGTAGGGGATTAATCAAAATGATGGGCTTTTCTTCTAGGCCATCTATCCTGGCCAGAGAGGTGCAGACATAAACACACCCAATTCACTGACTACTTATGGAAAGGCCGACCAAGGGCCAGGCTAAGTTTTGGGAACACAGGATGAAGGCTGCACGGTCCCTGTTCTCAGTGAGCCCACAGGCGTGCAGTGAAGATAGATATCACCAACCGAGAAGTGCCATATAGTTTGCATGGGAGGGGAACAAGTATTCCATGTCTGGATATCCCAGGCATTAGGCCTGCGTTTAAGGTGGAGAGTGAATCCAGGGCAGGGCTTGCTGGGGAACAGACGCAGAAGGACGCAGCCTCTGCTCCATTCAGCTATGAAAGGCATGGCCAGGTATACGCTGCACCTGTTGGGTGTGTGGGGGTAGGGGACGCCTGTTCTTTTCAGGTGGTTTGTTAATGTAACTGGTCTTCTCACCTGAGGGCCTGTACACTGGGAACTGAAAGGCATGGAAACAAAGGTATAGTAGAAATGGAAAGTCTTCTTTTGTTCACTCAAGCACAAATCATTTTAAAGTGCTACTCGAATAAGGATAGCTGTCATCAGCGTAGAGGTCACTGGTATAAACAAACAGTAGCTATATGATATTTGGGAACTATTTTACAATATGCTCCCATTGGGTTTTCCAAACTGATACAACCATGAGGTGAACACTTTCACTGTTTCACAGTTCCTCCAGAGATACCAGTTTATGAAAATGTCAGATGTTAAAACAGATATTAGGCAAATATCCAAGGAAGCTACGGTCTGCCATAGGCCCTTCCCATCCACTCTATCCCCGTCCTTCCTTGATGGGGCTCCTGCCACATCCAACGAAGCCATGCGAATGCCCTCTTGTTCTCCCGCTTCACTCTGAGTGACCTCATCTGGGGGAAAGAGCTCATTAGAGACTTTCAATCTCAAGCATTATCCGGCAGGCAGAGACAGCATTTGGAGGATGTGAGAGCTTCCGTCACTATTTGTGAATTCACACATCAAAAGTGATGCCTTGCTTTGACTCTGCGTGGAGGCAGCCCTGAGTCTGATGCCCACCATCTCTCATGAGAGACAGCAGATACCCCGAGAGCTAGCCAGCAGCAGCCTCCTCACCTCGACGACGAGCTGAAGGTCAGCCATGTACCGCTCTTCGGTCTGAATCAGCTCATGAATATAGCCCTGTCTTTTCCTCTCAATTGGCTGCATTGTGTCCAGGGTTTGCAGATCAGCACACCCTGTGGAAAAAACAGGGTAGTTTAAAATATTACTTTAGTCAACTTTGTAGAAAATAGACATTTGTCAGCAGATGTGCTGGGTTTACAAATGCTGCTTTGAAAGAATGACGCAGCCTTAAAAAGGACGCTGCTAACTTCTGCAGAGCAGCATGCGTACGCGGAGAGTTGGCATTAATGAGCCGGCACTCACAGCTCCAAAGTGGCAAATCAGCAATGTCTGTAACATTTCAATGTGCTCCTAATTTCTTTTCAGAACTGTGCAGAGCGTGTGAAGAATCTCACCACCTCAAGACATTTTTCGAAGTTACTGAAATGATTAAATGAATCAGATGCTTCAGACCACTCCAAACTGCAGGTCATGAGCCATTAGTGGGTCATTATATCATTTTGGTTTTAAAATGCTGGTCAGGCCCAGCATTAAAAAATAAATAAATAGAAATTACCATGCATATGGCTTTGGTAAATATTGTGAAATGTTTAGTTATGTATGTATTCGAAATGTAAAATGTATTTCTCACTGTGAGCTACTGTTAAAAAAATGTTTGAGAAACAGTCTCTAGATTTCTTAAAGGAAAGTTCTAAGGTTATAAAACCTGAAATTCCCAGATCCCAGCAATTCCCAGAAGACCACTGCCTCATCTCACTAGAACAAATAACTCCTGGTACACTGCAGATATCCAGCCACAAATGACAGGAAAGTCACAAGCAACCTTGCATCAGGGTGAGAGGTACTGCATTCACTATGGATCAATTCACAGGCACATCACAGCTGAACTAGATGTCAAACTATGAAGTGACATAATTCCAGAGTCACTTAACAAGTAGCTGAGGGCTTGCCTATACACAGTGATGTGGCGAAATACCTCAGGAAACCCTTCTTAGAAAAAAAAGCAAAAGCAGCCGGGCATGGTGGCTCACACCTTTGGGAGTAATCCCAGCACTTTGGGAGGCCAAGGTGGGTGTATCACGAGGTCAGGAGATCGAGACCATCCTGGCTAACACGGTGAAACCCCGTCTCTACTAAAATTACAAAAAATTAGCCAGGCGTGGTGGTGGGCGCCTGTAGTCCCAGCTACTCAGGAGGCTGAGGCAGCAGAATGGTGTGAACCCAGGAGGTGGAGGTTGCAGTGAGCCGAGATCGCACCACTGCACTCCAGCCTGGGCAAAAGAGCAAGACTTCATCTCCAAAAAAAAAAAAAAAAAAAAAAGCAAAAGCAGTGGAAGTTGTCAGAATCAAAATGGAGTCACTTGTGTTAAAAATCCTGACAAAGGGCCAGGGAAGGCCATGAAGAGAGAGTTCTCATCCATGAATACTTGATAACTAGAACTATCACAAAAGACTGCAAAACCACAAACTTACATAAAGGCCATGGTGACCTGACACAAAAAAATAGTCCTGCAAGGTTATCTGCCCAGCAACTGCCTGTCCAACCTCGGACAAGTGCCACCCTTATTGATTCTCACGGCCAAGGATAATTATATATTTAAAAAAATTATGTGATCCTCTTCATTTTTCCTTTAAAAACTTTTGTCCTCCTTTAGTTCTCTGAATATGCACCTGTTGGTATGCATATTCCCATTACAATAACTATTTTTCTTTTCTTTTTTTTTTTTTTTTTTTTTTTGGAGACAGAGTCTCCCTGTGTCAGCCAGGCTGGAGTGCAATGGCGCAAATCTCGGCTCACTGCAACCTCTGCCTTCTGGGTGCAAGTGATTCTCCTGCCTCAGCCTCCTGAGTGGCTGGGATTACAGGCACACACCACCACGCCCAGCTAATTTTTGTATTTTTAGTAGAGATGGGGTTTCACCGTATTGGCCAGGCTGGTCTCGAACTCCTGATCTCAGGTGATCCGCCCACCTTGGCCTCCCAAAGTGCTGGGATTACAGGCATGAGCCCCATGCCCGGTGCAATAACTATTCTTAAATAAATATCACTTTCTTTTAGAGAGTCTCCCTCTCCGTTATTTAGGTTGACAGCATGTAGGTACCCAGCAAGCTACAACATGAGGCAGCAAGTGGCTTGTGTCAGAAAACTGGGAAAGAGACGAATGAAGTAGGGAAGACCTTCTGTAGCTAAGGCAACCAAGAAGGGCAGCAGAGCGAAGGCGCACCCTGCACCTGCCAGGACACTGTCCATCCAGCAGGGCGTGTTGCTCTTTCCAATTTCCTTTGCATTTGTATACATTTTGTATAGATCTGGGCTTACAGACAGTTCTAAGGAAGACAGCTTTTCTATATTCTACAGATGTTGCCAACAGCTTTAAAGAAATTACTCCCACAGAGAACAAAAAAATAAATGAATAAGGCAGGTTATGTTTGGTGTTTCTAAAAAGAAATCATAGACTGTGGTGCCTGTAATCCCAGCACTGTGGGAGGCTGAGGCGGGAGGATCACTTGTGCCTAGGAGTTGAAGACCAGCCTGGGCAACAAAGTGAGACTCTCATCTCTACCAAATTAAAAAAAAAAAAATTAGCCAGGCGTGGTGGCATGTGCCTGTAGTCCCAGCTACTTGGGAGGCTAAGGCTGGGAGGACTGCTTGAGTCTGAGAGTTCAAGTTTGCAGTGAGCTGTGACTGCACCACTGTACTCCAGGCCAGATAAGAGTGAGACCCTGTTTCAAAAAAAAAAAAAAAAGGAAAAGAAAGGAACAGGGAGAAGGAAGGAAAAAGTGAATGTAAGGGGAAAGGGAAGGGGAGGGGAGGGGAGGGGAGTGAGGGAAGAAGGAAGGAGTGAAAGAAGGAAGGGAAGGGAAGGAAGGGAAAAAAAGGAAAGAAACAAGAAAAAGAAAGAAAGAAAGGAAAGAAAGAAAAAAAAGAAAGAAGAAAAATAAAGAAAAGAAAGAAATAAATCATAATGCCACTGTCATGTTCAAAATTGTTACGCTTTTAGGGAGATAGTATTTTATTATCTTCTGCCAGGGGGAACTGCAGAGGGTAACTGAGTGTTAAAAAAAATCACTGAGGCTAATCCAAATGTCTGCTTGACGAGGCTTTTGTGGAGCAAGGAGAGGCTTGGTGACCAGACACCTGGCGAAATGGCACTGATCCTGATATGATCCAGTGGTGCTACTCGGTGTGGCCAGGTGATTGATGGAGGGAACTCAGACCAGTTTCCAAGGTTGCCCCACCTCCCACACCACTGTCTTACAAACTTCATGTTCTGCTTTCAAGACTTTTGCCATATCCACATTCCATCTCTATTATTATTTACTTAATATTTTTCTCTAAACGTACTCGTGTTTGAAGTTAAGTGTGCTCATTATGTTTCTTCTAATAATCATTAAAGCAAATATATAATCATTCGAATGAAACAGGTCCATTTTGTGTACCAGTGCGTTGAGCACCACAAGGATACAACTATCACACCTTGGGAAACAATGATTTACATTAAAAACCACAAGTATTGGCCACTGTATCTGGAATAATACCTTGGAATAATAGCAAGAACCTCAGATATTTGTTTCTAAAACTAGACTATACATTGCATTAGCTGTAGCAGGATAATGTGGGGACACCCCTGGCATGCCATGCCTAGCTGACCCTTTTGCATTTCATCATGACGGCTCTTCAACTTTTTTTTTTTTTTTGAGACGGAGTCTCACTGTGTGGCCCAGGCTGGAGTGCAGCGGCGCGATCTCGGCTCACTACAACCTCCGCCTCCCGGGTTCAAGCGATTCTCCTGCCTCAGTCTCCGAGTAGCTGGAACTACAGGTGCCCACCACACCCAGCTAATTTTTGTATCTTTAGTAGAGACGGGGTTTCGCCATGTTGGCCAGGCTGGTCTCCAACTACTGGCCTCAAGTGCTCTGCCCATCTCGGCCTCTCGAAGTGCTGGGATTACAGGCGTGAGCCACCACGCCTGGCCTGCTCTTAAATTTTTACCCTCTGTTTAAGTTTCCAACCCAGCTCCTACCCTCACTTCCAGATGCTCTTACCTCTGATGTCAGGGAAAAAATAAAGACACGAGGCCTCTCTTCCTCCCCTTCTGTCTGTCCATTTGTCCCTGTGTGTCCTTCCTGAGTTAGGGAAGGAGGGGTCCTGTTTCTTTCTAAAGCCACTGTCTGTAGTCAGCCTCTCCTCCAGGGCCCCTCCCTTTCCTTCACGCTTCTATGTTCACTCTTCGCCATTTCCTTCTTAGCCCATAAACATTGCTAAGTGTCCCTCCTATCCCACTGTTTGAAACCAACCAACAAGCACACTTCTCCAACCCTGCCCCCTCCTCAGCACCGCCTGCCTTTGGTCTCATTGGCAAATGTCACTAGAGGGGTTTACACCCATGGCCAACTCTCGCTAGCTTTCCCTGTCACATCTCCACTCGGGATTCTGGTTTCTGCCCCACTGCCCGACACTGCTCTCGGGAAGGTATCGATGACCTTGGCATTGCCAAGTTCAGTGACCTCTTCTGAGCTTGCACCCTCCCCTGCCGGCCCACAGCACAGGCGCCTTGGATGGGAGGCTTTTTTGGAGACTTGAGTCTGCCTTTCTCAGCCCTTGAGCCTCTCCTCTTCTTGGTGTTTCCTTCTGTCTTCTGCCTCTTGCCTGCTGCCTGGCTCTCTGCTCCCCCCAGTCCAGCAAATGCCAAAATAGGCTCCTGATGCTCCTGTCCTGTGCGGTCAGATGAATCCAGACAATGCTGCAGGCTGTATATCTCACTCGCAGGGCCCCAGTGCACATTAGCCTATTAGGCAGTGAGAAACTCTGTGCTACAGAAAAATTTGATGAGCTCAGGGTTCCCAACACGTATTTGACCACAGAATCCTCTTTTTTTGAGAGGAGGGAGGGTAACATCTTTTTTGTCCTGAGAAAAGTCCTGATGAACTGAGGAATTCGGGTTTTATGGATAGGATACACCCCTTTGCCACTCTCTATACCTGCATTGTCAATAGAGTAGCCCTTAGCAAGCTGTGACCGCTGAACACATGCAGTGTTTCCATGGTACTGGTTTGTATCTGTCTTTTAACATTACACATCGTCTAACTGGTGCTGTTGTTAATCTGTGTAGTTACGGTGTCAGTGGCTCTGACTGCAGACCAGGGACTGTGTCTAACACATTTCTGTAATAGCAAGCTGAGCACAGCGTGTTGGCTACCTGCAGTCAGGGAATATTTGTTAGGGGATAGAATATTGTGTTGGTCCTAGGCCTGTTTGTGCCCAGGTCCATTTCTCACCTTTTCCCTGTTCTGCTCTGGGCTGCAAAAAAGCCAATCCTGCAGGCTGTTTTTTCTAAGCTTCTGTTCTATTTGGCCTCTGCCTGGGTTTGGCCAATGAGAGGAAACTCTGGCAGGAGACTGAATGTTACAGGGTGGAGTAGGAAAAATGTCCTCTCTCCAGAAGAGTGACATGATTAAAAAGTTTTTTGTCTGTTAAGTAATGAATGGAAATGCTGGGCTTGCATCTTACACAAACTTGGAGTTCAAGAATTCAGATGAATTAACACAAAAATTGGCCAGGTATGGTGGCTCACACCTGTAATCCAAGCACTTTGGGAGGCCGAGGTGGGCAGATCACTTGAGGTCAGGAGTTCTATTAGCGGTAAATGTGCTCAGACTTTGTCTGAAAATGTATTTATTTCTCTGTCATCCATGAATTAGATTTCTAGCTGGACAGTTATTTTTTCTCTGTGTTGTGTGTTATGTGCAGCCAGTCTAATTGCTGTTCATGTGGTTATTCTGGTTTTTCTTGGTGCTCACTTGAGGTCTGAGCACAAAGGAATCAATATTACTGTAGAAAAATGTTTACTGAATGTAGCTGGAAAATTACACATTTAACATTATTTTCAGATATTTCACTTTAAAGAAAAAGAACTTCCTAATCTCCCCAGGTAGCCTCCTCTGTTATTTTACTGGACCTATTGCTAACATTTAGTAGAGATGAAACCCCATCTCTATTAAAAATACAAAAATTAGCCAGGGGTGGTGGCGTCTGCCTGTAGTCCCAGCTACTTGGGAGGCTGAGGCAGGAGAATCACTTGAACCTGGGAGGCAGAGGCTGCAGTGAGCTGAGATCGTGTCACTGCACTCCAGCCTGGGCGATACAGCAAGACTCCATCTCAAAAAAAGAAAAAGAAAAACAAAAAACAACACAAAAATTGGTCACTAGCTGGTGATACCCTTAGGGTGACTGGCCAAAGGAATGGTGCAACTGGCCTGGAGGGTCACACTCACAACTGTGGCTCCATGAGATTCCACAGAAAAACCAAGTCTCATTAAAGATGAGCTCAAAGTAAAAAAAAAAAAAAAAAAATTACAAAAAACGGGAAAAATCCACCATAAATTGAAAAATGAGGATTAGAACACCAAGAACATATGACAGTAGAACAAAAATACACATGGAGATGTAAAATATATATGTTTAACATTACTCAAGACACATAATGAAGGGCTTGAAGCCATAGGTAGTCTATTAAAAGAAAGAATAAGGAGAGTTGAAAAAGAATAAAAATGGCAAATATTGTCATGGAAATGATAAATTAATAGATTAAATAGCAGATTAAACACATCCTAGGAATTAGTAAACCTAAAAACAGATGTGAAGAATTATTTAGAATGTAGCCCAGAAAGAAACAGAGATGGAAGGCTGGGCATGGTGGCTCACACCTGTAATCTGAGCACTTTGGGAGGCCAAGGCGGGTGGATCACCTGAGGTCAAGAGTTCAAGACCAGCCTGGCCAACAGGGTGAACCGTCTCTACTAAAAATACAAAAAATTAGCGGGGCATGGTGGCGGGTGCCTGTAATCCCAGCTACTCAGGAGGCTGAGGCAGGAGAATTGCTTGAACCTGGGAGGCAGAGGTTGTTGTGAGCCAAGATCGTGCCATTGCACTAAAAAAAGAAAAAAAAGATGGAAAACATAAAACGGAAGTTAAGAGACACAGAGGACAGAATGACAAGGCCCAACATACATCTGACAGGTAGTCCAGGAGAAGGGAATAGAAAGAATTGAGAGAGGTAATATTGAGATTATAATGGCTGAGACTTTTCTAGAATTGAAGAATGATACAATGCCTCAAATTCAGAACAATGGCTTCTGATTAGGAAAAAAATAAATCCATACCAGAACACCAAGGAGGGAAGAAAAAACATGATTAAACAGTCAGAAAGAAAAATCAGAATAACCACATGAACAGCAATTAGACTGGCTGCACATAACACACAACACAGAGAAAAAAATAACTGTCCAGCTAAAAATCTAAATCACAGATGACAGAGAAATAAACACATTTTCAGACAAAGTCTGAGCGCATTTACCACTAATAGACATGACTGGAAAAACTATTAAAAGACGTATTTCAGGAAGAAGGAAATTACATAAGAAGGAAAAAGAAAAGAGATATGAGAAATGGTGAGCCAAAATACTAGTAAATGTGTAAGAAATCAAAATAATCATTGACTGTATAAAACAACAATAATACTAAGTTGGCAGGTATAAATACAAGGTGAAGTTAAAACACAAAAATGTAATAACATGAAAGACATAAGAGAATCATTAGAGATAAATCATCCTCCTTGCATTGATCAGCAGAAGGAAGAGATATTGATCAAAGGCAAACAGGTATGTTAAAAATGGAAAGGTAACCACTCAAAGAACAGACATAGACTACATAATTTCCCAACCAGTAGAGGGCAATAAAAGAAACAAAGAAACTTGATCAGTGCGACAGAAGTCCCTGTGTCAGCAGAACAAAAAGGGGCAAAGAAAATGCCTGGTAAATAGAAAATACATAATAAAATAGATACAAATAAAAGTATTAAATTGTTTTAATCAATGTAAATGGCTTAAATCTGTCAGTGAAAAGAGAGGCTCTGGATTAAAAATCAGGTCATAGAAGTGTTGGAAGTAGTGGGCTAGAAAAAGCTATCCAAATAAAAATTCTAAAAGCAACTGGGGAGGTTTTATTACAACAGACAAATTAGGCTTTAAGGACCCGTATGAGATGGTAGAAACATTCACCAGGAAGAAGAATAATTCTGATCTTATTTGCAACTAACAGGAAAGCCTCAAAGTGTAAAATAAAAAAACAACTAACAGGAAAGCCTCAAAGTGTAAAATAAAAAACTAAGACCCATACCCCACCTCCCTCCAAAAAAAAGAAAAAACTGACATATCTATAATCGTAGTAGAGTTTAATATAGTTCTCTCAATGAAAATTAATGAGAATATGAAAGATTTGAACACTATTAACAAGGTTAACATATGAACACACATACAAGAGACTATACATTCTTTTTCCATAGAACCAGGCTGGGCGTGCTGGCTCACTCACGCCTGTAATCCCAGCACTTTGGGAGGTCGAGGTGGGCAGATCACTTGAGGTCAGGAGTTCGAGCCCAGCCTGGCTAACATGGCGAAACCCCATCTCTATTAAAAACGCAAAAATTAGCTGAGTGTGGTGACAGGCGCCTGTAATCCCAACTACTCAGGAGGCTGAGGTGCGAGAATCACTTGAACCCAGGAGGCAGAGGTTGTAGTGAGCCAAGATTGTGCCACTGCACTCTAGCCTGGGTGACAGAGTAAGACACTGTCTCAACAACAACACAAAGAACCCACAGAACCAATTTCAACAAACACCAAGGAATCAATATTACTGTAGAAAAATGTTTACTGAATGTAGCTGGAAAATTATACATTTAACATTATTTTCAGATATTTCACTTTAAAGAAAAAGAACTTCCTAATCTCCCCAGGTAGCCTCCTCCGTTATTTTACTTGACCTATCGCTAACATCTGTGATTGCTGATGACTCGATCCTCATGAGATCCTTTTTCACTCGTCTTCCAGGTCACCACCTCTCCTCTCCTCATATCCTCCCACCTCACTGGTCTGCCCTTCCACGGCTCCTTTGCTCGTTCCTCCTCAACTCTCCAGACTTCTAATGTCGCAGTGCCCTAAGATTCAGTCCTTGGAACTTTCCTCGACATACTCAGAGCCTTGGTGACCCAGTTCATTCTCATGGCTTATTTATGTACTGATAGGCTCCCAAATTTACACTCCAGCCTGAACATCTTCCCTGAACTTCTTCACACGTTCTGCTGTATACTCAGTATCCCCATTCAGATGTCTAAAAGGCACATCAAAGTAACATCAAAAGCCAAACCCCTAATCATCTCCCAACCTGCTCCTCTATAATTTTCCACCTCAGTGGATGGCAATATCATCTCTCCAGCTGCTCACGCCACCTGATACTTCTCACACTTCACATTCAATCCACCTGTGGGATCCCTCTTCACAATACATCCAGACCACTTCTCACACGTCCCCCATGGCTGTTCTGATCCAAGTTATCATCATCTTGTGCTTGGATTACTGAAGTAGCTTTCCAATGGATCTCCTGGCTTCTGATCCCTTCCCCTCTTTAATCTGGCAAGGCAGAGCAGTACTGTTAAAACACACCAGATCATGTCACTCCTTTCATTAAAACCCTTGGCTGGGTGCGGTGGCTCACGCCTGTAATCCCAGCACTTTGGGAGGCCGAGGTGGGTGGATCACCTGAGGTCAAGAGTTGGAGACCAGCCTGGCCAACATGGTGGAACCCCGTCTCTACTAAAAATATAAAAATTAGCTGGGCATGGTGGTGGGCACTTGTAATCCCATCTACTTGGGAGGCCGAGGCTGGAGAATTGCTTGAACCCAGGAGGCAGAGGTTGCAGTGACCGGAGATCATGCCATTGCACTCCAGCCTGGGCGACAAGAGTGAAACTCCATCTCAAAAAAAAGAAATAAAAATAAAAATAATAAAAACCCTCCAATGGGTTCTTCTCACTCCAAACAAAAGCCAAAGTTTATAAATAGCCCACAAGAACCTAAACAACCTCCTTCATTTCCTAGGTCACACCCAGACCCTCGCTTCCTCCTTCTCTCCTGCTCTTCCCTCTTCCCACCGCACAGGCCTCCGCACTATTCCTCAGGCACCACAGGATGCTCCTGCTGCAGGGATTTTGCAGGTGCAAAATCTGCCCAGAATGATCTTCCAGATATCCGCATGGCTCCCTCCAGATATCCTCACACCCCTCCAGTCTCTGCCTGCCGTCACTATCTCAGAGAGGTTTTATCTGAGTATTTTATTCAAAATAAAATCCCTCTGGATCCACCTCCCTTGCAGAACTCCCATTCCTCTTCCCTGCTTCATTTTTCTAAGATGCTACACACTTCACATTCTCATTTTGTTCGTTTTCTGTTTTAGCCTACTCAAACACCAGCTCCAAGATGGCAGAAATTTTTGTCTTATAATTTGCCACATCCCCAGTGTCTGACACACAGGAGGGCTTCGATAAGCATTTATGGAATGTGATGTGAAGATACACTCTGAGCTTCAGGAGACAGTACAGCAGTGTTGACTACAGGCAGTCAGAGAAATTGATGAAAACTTCCTGGTAGGTCCTTTTTGGTAGACAAGAAGAGTGGGCAAAGAAGAAAGATGAGAGATCATGGCTACTATCAGGTTGATGTTCCCAGAGGAATAATTAGTAGTGGGCTGGGCCACAAGACCCACCCCCACACTGTGGGAGGATGTGGAGACTGAGAGACAAGTTATGAATCATAGGTATGTCGCACCATAGTTGGGAAGCACTATTCCAAGTTACAGTGCAAGCAAGAATAAGAAGCAAACAAGAGATGCCTAAGAAAGGAGAGGGGAAAGATCTGGGCAGATTCCAGGAGGTAAAGGACAAAAGACAATCTGTGATGACGAACACAGAGAGTGCTTGTTCAGATTATGTCACAAGTCCCACAAAAGTCCTTGCCCATTTGGAGGGGAGCAGTGCCGGTGAACAATGCTATTCTCTGTGTGCCCACTTATGCGGCCAGAGTATCACATAATGGTTTCCAGTTATACTGTAGTTAAGCTCAGTGAAAAGATGAGATTTTTAACAGTAAATCTAGATGAATAAACTGCATTTTCTGAAGGCTGCCTTTTTATTGAAGTTTTATCAGGACACTAGAAAGTTACAAGATATTTTATGTTGTAAAAGAATAGCTTTTCATCCACTTGGCAAATATTTATTGAGTACCGGGTAGCATGCTTCCACCACAAAGATATTTGTTTTTACTTTTGGAAATTTAAATAATTACTGGACAAATTTCTAAATTCATGTCTTTTTGAGGCCTGTCAAGTTCTACTCCATTAGGAGCTATGTTGCTCCTGTAAGCACAAAAAGGAAAGAAGTTGAAATCATATTCTAATGTTGCAGACCATCAGAAAGCAAACTATTTGCCTATCAGAAAATAGTCATATTCTAGAATTTCCAAAAGCAACTATATTGACAAGTGCAACCAGATAAAGACAAATTTTATTGGTTTTATTTTTACTTTTGAATCTACTGTAAAAGGTCATAAGCCTAAGACAGCAATGACCTCCTAATGATAGACAAAAGCGCAGACCTGGCCCCAGAGAGCAGTTAGTTCAGGCTAAAATCTGCATTACCTTCTAACCTGCCAGACTTGTACCATGACTCAATTGAGGGAGTTAATGTGAGATGCAGGATATAGACTATTATAAAGAGATATGAAATAGTAGTTTCATCATGTTAGAACTTTCAATTCTAACAATAAAAATAACTATACCAATATGTGTATGATGATTTTCAAACCCTGATCAATCCTCCGAATAACTGATAACAGCTCTGACCCCTGCTCTATAAGTAAATAGATAATCTGAAGCTTAGTGGTGAAGAGACTTACCAGATAAATTAGAGCTACTACATATCTAAATCTAGGTAACTTGATTCAAGTCTTATACTTTCCAATGGCAGGCCATTTAAGATGATGCTTACACTGCAATTACTGGAGATTCCATGTATAAACCTACCAGGTCCTATGCTTGGTGAACTGAATTCTAAAGGCAAAAAAGGTTTAGGATAAATATTCTGAATGCCAATTAGCCCAAAGCAATGAAAAAGCAAACAAGGCCCTTACTCTAACTCTTTTTTATGTCTAAGTGATATAATTATTCCCTTACACACCCTTCTACTCTGTCACACACACAATTAGGACCTTGTATCTAATAGCCAGTTCCAAAGAGACTGTTCCATGCACTGTAGCACTTTGTATCAGTGCACTGATTACTACAGTTCTGTCCTTGGGCAATACGGGTTTCATATGCACATATATATTTTTTCTTAGTATTACTGAACAGCTTATTACACCATTAATCTCCCCCAATGGTATGTTCATATAACTCATGTTTTCCACTTGTTTATGACTACATACATAATTGGAGACTTTGCCCCAAATTGCTGAGTTTAGGACACACAAATTCTATAGCACTGGCTGACTCTGACTTCAGGTGGCTAATGGATGACCACCGGTGACACAGGGATCCCAGTGGCAGGTTCTTCGGTACCTTGGAATGTAACTTGACCAGCTTGGATTCATTTAAAGCAGTTAATTTTCTTTACCCTCCATCTTGCAATTAACTGATGACTGTTCTGCTTTTGTGGTTGGGAGTTAAGAGCAGCTCCCAGTTAATGGAAAGCAGCATGTGGGGGTGGCTAAGAGAATGAGTTCTGAAGTCAGATCTGGACTTGAGTTCCAACTCTACTACTTACTCAGACAACCCAAAGATTAGTTCATGACTTGGTACACAGCAAATATTTACTAAATGTTAGCTGTTATTTCTAGTATCTATTATGTGTCAGACATTAAACTTGTGCTTTACAAACCCCTTAAGCCTCATGTGCAATGTGGGTATTATTATTCTCACTTATACAGACCAGGCTAAGGCTCGGAGGGGTGAGCTAGCTGAGACAGGAATCAAAGCAATCCTCCCACTATACTTCCCACTACACTCATTTATCGTTCTCTTTGAAAGAGTAAGTGATTTTTGCCTTTTGACAAGCTTAAAACATCTCTCTTAAGAATGTCCTTCATAATTTGTTGTTCTTTAAAGCAAAGTTTAAAAAGTGATTCTAAAACTGATTCTAAAAGTTTATACGGAGAGGCAAAAGACCCAGAATAGCCAACAAAAAAATTAAAGGAGAAGAATAAAACTGAAGAACTGACACTACCTGACCTCAAGACTTACTAGAAAGCTGCAGTAATCAAGCCAGTGTGATACTGGCCAAAGAATACACAAATAGATCAATGAAACAGAATAGAGCCCAGAAATAGACCCATATAAATAGAGTCAACTGACCTTTGACAAAGGAGCAAAGGCAATACAATGGGGCAAAGATACTCTTTTCAACAAATGATGCTGGAACAACTGGCCATCCAAATGCGAAAAAAAAAAAAGAAATTGTCTTTAAAATGAAATATAGACACAGGTCTCTACTGTTCGCAAAAATCAACTCAAAATGCATCACAAACCTAAATCTGAAACACAAAACTATAAAGCTCCCAGAAAATAGTGTAAGCGAAAATCTAGATAACCTTGGGTTTAGTGATGACTCTTTAGATATGATACCAAAGACACAATCCATGAAAGAAAGAGTTGATAAGCTGGACTTCATTAAATGTAAACACTTTCATTCTGCAAAAGATGTGGTCAAGAGAATGAGAAGACAAGGCACAGACTGAAAAAAAATTTGCAAAAGACGTATCTGATAAAGAACTATTTTTCAAAATATGGAAAGGACTCTTTTAACAGTTCAACAATAAGAAAACAAATAAAAAAATGGGCCAAAGACCTTAACAGATGCCTCATGGAAAAAGATATGCAGATGGCAAATAAGCATATAAAAAGATGCTTTGCATCATACGTTGTTGGGAAAATGCAAATTAAAACAAAAATGAGATACCACTACACACCTGTTAGAATGGCCAGAATCTGTAACACTGACACCACCAAATGCTGGCAAGGATGTGGAACAACAGGAACTTTCATTCATTGCTGGAGGGAATGCAAAATGGTACAGCCACTTTGGAAGACAGTTTGCCATTTACAAACTAAACATACTCTTAAACCATATGATCCAGCAGCAATCACACACCTTGGTATTGATTCAAAGGAAATGAAAACTTATGTCCACAAAAAAGCCTGCACACAGATATTTGTAACAGCTTCATTCAGAATTGCCAAAACTTGGAAGGAATCACAATATCTTTCAGTGAGTGGATAACTGTGGTATACCCAGACAACGGAATATTATTTAGCACTAAAACGAAAGGATCAAGCCATGAAAAGATATGGAGGAAACTTACATGCCTATTACTAAGTAAAAGAAGCCAATCTGAAAAGGCTATGTACTGTGTGATTCCAATCATATGATATTCTGGGAAGGGCAAAACTATGGAGACAGTAAAAAGATCAGTGGTTGCCAGGGGATGGGAGGGAGGGAGAGCTGAACAGGTAGAGCACAGAAGATTTTTAGGGTAGTGAAAATACTCTGTATGATACTGTGATGGTAGCTGTATGTCATTACCCATTTGTACAATCCCACAGAATGCACAGCACCAAGACTGAACCCTAATGTAAACTACAGACTTTGATAATGACATGATGTAGGTGCATCAATTGTAACAAATGTACTGCTCTGGTGGGGGTTGTTGTTAATGGGGGAGGCTATGCCTGTGTCGGGGCAAGGGACATATGGGATATCTCTGTGTCTTCCTCTCAATTTTGCTGTGAACCTAAAACTACTCTAAAAAATGAAGTCTTTTAAAAAAGTGATTATGAAGACAAATAATTTTAAAACGGGCAAAGGATCTGAATAGACATATCTCCAAAGGAGGTATACAAATGGCCAACAAGCACATGAAAAGATGCCCAATATCATTAGTCATCAGGGAAATGCAAATCAAAACCACAGTGAGATGTCACTTTATGTCCACTGGATGGCTATAATAAAAGTCAGATAATAACAAGTGCCGGTGAGGATGTGGAGTAACAGAAAGCCCTGTACACTGCTGGCGGAAATAGAAAATGGTGCAGCCAGTGAGGCAGGTCCTCAACAAATTAAACATAGATTTGCCATTTGACCTGGGAATTCTACTCCTAGATATATATCCAAAAGAAACATGGACATATGTTCACACAAAAACTTGTAGACAAATGTTCACAGCAGTATTATTCACAATAGCCAAATGGTTGAAACAACCCAAATGTCCACTAAATAATGAATGAACAAAACGTGGCATATCCACACAATGGGATGTTAATTTGGCCATAAAAAGGAATGATGTACAGCTACATGCTACTACATGGATGAACCTTGAAAACATTATGCTAAGTGAAATAAGCCAATCACAAAATGCTACACATTTTATGATTCCATACATATGAAATGTTCAGAATAGACAAACATGGAGACAAAAGATTAGTGCCTGCTCAGGGCTGAAGGCTGGAGGGGGGCTTAGGGAAATGGGGGTGATAGCTAAATTGTACAGAGATTCATTTTGAGGTGATAAAAATGTCTTATAAGTGACTGTGGAAATGGTTGGACAACTTTGTTAATACACTAAAAACCACCAATTGCATGGCAAGTGAATTGTATCTCAATGAAGCTGTTACCAAAAAAAGTGATTACATTCAGCTTTATCCTTCTGGATACTATTGTCATAGAGTCTTGTCCTTGTTTATTATGTTCAGTCTTTGACTCCTTGACTCTTCTCTGTGTGTCCTTTTTACATAGAGAAAAGCCTGTGCAATCTCTGATTTTTCCTGTGTTTTTTTTTCTTTTTTTTTTTTTGGACATAGGGTCTCATTCTGTCACTCAGGCTGGAGTGCAGTGGTGTGATCTCAGCTCACTGCAGCCTCGATCTCCCAGGCTCAATTGAACTGCCTGCCTCAGCCTCCTGAGTAGCTAGGACTACAGGCGTGCAGCAGCACCACTCCCAGCTATCTATCTATCTATCTATCTTTTATTTTTTATTTTTTTTTGTAGAGACAGGTTTCACCAAGTTGCTCAGGCTGGCCTCAAACTCCTAGGCTCAGGTAATCACCCACCTTGGCCTCTCAAAAGTGCTGGGATTACAGGCATGAGCCACCATCCTGTTTTTGTTTCACTGGTATGAGTAACAGTTGTAGTGCCGAAGTTCATTATTAGGAGATGGTGGCAATATCAGCACACTAGTGTAGAGGCTAACAGCATGGACTTGGGAGCCAGACCATGGACCACCTCTACCGCTTACTAGCAGGTTCCACTTGGACAAATTATCTAATCTGTTTTAATTTCTGTATCTCAAAAAAGAAAACAATGAAGAGGTAATACATTCAAGGACCTTAGAAAAGTATCTAAACTAAGAAGTCCTCAAAAAAGAGCACTTTTCCTCTTTTATTTTTACTGGTGTGAGAGATGGTTGCAGAGCCAAAATTTCATTATTTTTTAAAAATCATGAAAATAGCAAAATAATCTCTTTCTCATATAACCTGTTTCCCATCTTTGTGAGTTCCTTTCACTATCCAACCCTTAACTGCTGATCTTCTAGGAGGTCTGATCTTCTTCCCAAGTAATCTCATCTACTTTCACTGGTTCAACAACTACCAATATGTATGTCATTCCACCAGGTGGTGTACATCTGATGTTGTCTATCTTATCTGACCACCTGCTTGACAACTCTATGTGGACATCCCATAGGTGCTCCAAACTCCTCTTCTTCCCCCAACTCTAATTCTTCACTGCAGTTGGTGGCACCATTATCCCATCCTGTCCCTCAAGACACAAATCTGGAAATAACTGACTTTTCCACCGACACTCATATTCCATCTATCTCCAGTTCCTGCCAATTTTCCCTCAGAACTCCGTTTCATCATTTTTTGCTCCACCTTGGGTGCATATCAGAATCATATGGGAGGCTTTGAAAGATCCCCACGATCAGGCCGAACTTCAATCCATTTAAATTAGGACCCTGGAAACTATAGATTTTTCAAGTTTCCCAAGTGATTCCAACATACAGCTGAGCTAGAGAATTTCTGACTTAGCCCTTGGCCTGCCTCTCAAGCCTCAACTTTTATAGTTCCTGGCTCTGTATTTCCATTCTGACGATACTGAAATGCTTATAATTACACTTCCCCACCATGCCATTTCTTGTCTTTATCATACACTCCACCATCCTACCCACCAAATCTGGCTTATTGCTACTTATCTTATGGACCTGGCAGTTGCTTCCTCCAGCAAGTCTCTCGTTCACCAATCTATGGCTGAATTTGGTATTCCTTCTCTGTAGTCCTTAAGTGCCTGGCAAATATCTATCACTGTGCTGAATATGCTGTTTTATAATTATCTGCATATGGGCCTAATCCCCTCAAAGAACTATGTACCACCTAAGACAATGGCCACTTGACACTCAGTTTTGTATCCCCAGCACCTGCTTAGCCTTATGTAAACACTTCATACATGTTAGTTGAATAAGTTTCCGGAGATGAGGAAAGGCTTTTTGGAAAGAGGTTGTTTGTGCTAGATGTTGACAGATGGACTGGATTTAGATCCATATCTTTCTTTCCACCCAAGGGCTTATACGACCACCAACATGATTAACTTTAACACTGCTTAACTTTGATACCTCCAAGCATTCACTGCTGTTTCTTTTACATAAACTCTTATTTTGTACTAAAAGTCTTACTCTACATTTGCAATGAGTATTAATTTGTAAGTTCCATCCAATCTTTTTAGAAAAAAGTTGCAGTAAAACTTATAAAAACACAAGTCTATTACCCTAGATTATGTTTTCCTTACTTTTGTGAGCAACAATGTATTAAAATCAAACTTTATTTCACTTTTGAGATACATATGATTATCTCCAATCAAATTATCTTCATCTTGACCACTTATACATTTATTTTGCCCCCTATGATATAAAACAATTTGCTGGCCTGTTCTCATGAGACTACATTAAGGAAAAAGAGACATTCCAAAGACATTTAATCATGACTAAATAAAAACAATTAAAAGTAAGTTTTAAAGAATGTTTCAAAAGAAATACACAATACAACTAATATAGTTTGTGTTCTTTTAATAAACACACTTGCATAGTTATATTACAATTTTGTAAAAATAAAAACAGATTATCTCATGCCAAGCGTGCCCAGCATTTGCACAATCTCAATACCTTTAATACTATAATTTTCAAGACACACAAAATAAAATTTTAAGGCAAAAACAGCACTTTGCAACAATTTAATAATTTATTACATTACAGTAGCATCACAGCAGCATTCAATAATGCCACTTTAGGCAAAAGTCTTTCAGTATTTCCATTATAGATTCTGTTTACAAGAATTCATAAACTGGTAAAAGTCATTCTAAGAAAACCTGGCAAATAAAGCTTTGGACTGGAATTGGTATTTCTTTCTCTACTTTTCTTTCCCCCAGTTTCTTTCTTTTAAACTACAGTATTTATATTTTAAAATGTTTTATTTCAAAACATTTAAATATCAGTTACATTTTTAATAGTTATATTATTTTAAAATGACTCTTTAAGATAAAGTTTTAGAGAAACTATATTATGGATAGGGCTGATTTACATTCTCAAATTTTCTAAAAATCAGCTTTGGTTTTAGAACTGATTTTTTTCATTTCTGGAAAACCTAAAAGGTTTAATCAAATAATTTAAAAGTGATTATTATACATTGCAATTGCAATCTTTAAACAGGTATTTTGATTCTTTACCTCCTACAGAAATTCAAATTTATTCAGTTGAACTCACATTTTAAAATTCTATGTTTCTGATGAACTCTAACCTTCTAATGTTGCCTTCTAAGCAAATTGAAAGCTGACTTATACTGAATGAGGAAGAGAACAAATACTTGGCTGAATGAGGTATTGCAAAAGACAGCATGCACTTTTAAGAAAGACTTAAGTTATTATGTCATATGATTTCCATTCTTTTTATCTTTTTCTTAAATACATGACAAAATACCTACACAAAGAGTGGTATTTCAGTTAATATAGTAAATTTATTTTCCAGACTGACATTCAGCTTAAATACGCCAGTATATGATTTAATCCATAGGTACCTGATGAACATATTATTTTCAGGTTGGTTACAGATGCTAAACGCTGTCTGAAGGTCATTCCCAGTAATTTATATTTATCAGTGTAAAAGTGAAGTGATTTGAACTATAAAAATACGTTTGAAATAATTCATCAATGTATTAGATAAACTCAGTTTCAGAATTATAAAGAAAAAACCTTAGACCAAATAATGTGGCTGATTAACAGTGGTATGATTTCTACCCCGAGGGTTTAAAAATGGATTTAAAGTAACTGTCTTTGAACTCAAAAGAATGCAAAAGCAGCAAGTTCAGAAAATAAAAGGCAAGAACAGGTAATTAATACAATTTGGGAGAGTCAGTTGAATTCACAAGGACCCAGTCTTTGCACTCTTTCAGTGAATGCAGGCAAATCTGTTATTCTATCTGTAAAATGAAATTATTGCTTTCCTATTAATGTCATATTTATAAAAGTATCATGAGGATGCCAAATGCTAAAAATAGAGGTGGTCTAGTAACTAGAAATTGCCACCCTAGGGAGCACACATACTTATCTCCCTACATCCTAATAATGTGATGTATTTTGGAACACAGACATTATAACTTTATGAAGTTTTAACTGTTGATTCTTTCCCAAGCATCATAAAGTTATGATTTAGGCAATGTATGACTGAAATAATTCATTCATAATGTATAGGCACATTAACATAAATATTGCACAAAATATGCCTCTAACTGAAACTGAGAGGTACAAAAACATATTTCACTCTTTGTAAATAACTTTGTGAGGAAATATGACTCTGTGATTGTATATACACTTTTCCTGATACTTTGACATTCACAAACAGTAGATTGCACTGCAGTTTGTAAACATTTTAAGTTGCATAAAATTCTCCTTGATTTTCAAATATAGTATAATACTGTCTACTAAAACTCCTTTTTGTATCAACTAAGTACTCTCACATATATTAGTTTATAATAATGTTTGTTATTATTTTTTAAAGTGTTTTCCATTCCAGGAAAAGAAGTAAATTCTTATGTCAAAGTAGCCAATATGGTTGAAGAACAGGTATTAGAGAAGTCTGATGGTAAAATCAATCTTAGAGCCTCAAAGAAGCTCCATGAACACAGAGGAATGCCAGGTGTTACACAGCTTTCCTTCACTCTAATTCATTCTTGACTAGAGCCCACATGTCTGTTTTGGGGACATTTAAACTCTTAAAGGATTTCTTATGATATTTACTAAATACATTAAGAAGAATGTCAACCAGTGCCCCTTTGTATACTGGGACATGTAGTCACCTGATTAAAACAGGTAACAATGAACTCTGACTTTAAAATGGATTAAGATATAAATGCTCTAAGCTAGGAAAGGTTTTTCCCATCTCACAGTCAATGATGGGAGCCTTTCATTCCTCAAAAATAATCCCTTTATAGGTCATCGAAAAAGAATACACACGCTGCAGCACATGATGCAGTACCTTCATTAGCCCAGAGCACATAAAGATCCTAAGCGAACTACCATAGGACAGTGCTCATTCTTGGGACTGGAACAAATGAAACACTGCACATACCTGCCAGAGCAGGCCACTTTCCTCTTCTCTGAGATTTAAAAAGCTCCCCCAAAATGTTGTTATTCCCATCCCAAATACACAGAAAACAGGGCATGGCTGTTTCCAGTTCTTGGCCTTTAAACAAATCTAAATGTCAGTACTCATAGTGGCATATTACAAAGTAATAAACAGTGCACACTTGAGGGCAAACCACATATTGAGCTAATTAAGAGCTCACTGTGATTAGGATTAGATCAAACATAATAGCAGAACATAAGCAAATTTTATCTGAATTCTGTAAATGAATACACATGTTGCAATAACATTAAAAAAGCATGGCAGCCTATTCCAAACCAGTAAGAATAGTTTGTGCAAATAGTGGGTCTTTGTGTGTTTGAACTCCCACCACATAAGGGCAAACTCAATATGCATGCTAATGACCTACAATTATCAAATTAAAAAAGAAGAAAAATGCTAAAGATGCCAGAGTGAACAGCAGGGAAAGCCACACAAAGACCCACTATCCTTTAACTTTTTACAAATAAATTTAAACTGTAAGTTAGAAACACAAAAAAATAATCACAAGTGGCTCTAACATTCAAACGAAGTAAACGAATTGTGTAGGAGATATTTGATCAGGGCTGCCTGCCCTGCCTCCACGCTAGAGTGAAACTTGGATAGTGGGTCTCTGGGGTGCTTTCACAACTGGAAGACAACATTGGGTCCTAAAAAAAGAAAATGAGGAATAAAATGAACATAATGCAAATTAGGTGGGTGAGATAAAATTTGACTAGTAACAACATGCAACATCAACTAAACAAATTTGAACTGTTAAAATTCTCTATCTTAAAAAAAGTTCTAATTATGTAACAAAATGAAAAATAATACTTAAAAGGGCCAAAGAAACACAAATGGTAATCTATAATTTAACTAGCTTTCATTGACTATTACAAGAACTACAAACAGGTGATTCATCTATAAAAAGCTGGGTAGGTACAACAAGGATCTCGTATCTATTCCTGACTTTAAGGATTAAGCATTTTCTGAACCATATCCTATTAAAATTATAGGTTTATATAAACAATGTGAGTTCATAGCTACCAACACAATTAACATTAATCTTCATCTTCTTTGAAAAAGCAATTATGATTCTTCAATTTCTGATAAATAATTACTTCAAGTAAACAAAATCGGTACGCCTCACTTTCCTAGATAATTTAAACAGTTGTTTTATAGAAACAATAAACCATCTCAGAGGAACCTCTTTAGAATTTATCCTTAGAATTACAGAATTGAGAGCCCTTTTATTCCAGGATAGATGACAAGCCTTTAGCCATTCATTTAGGCAAAACAATAAAAGTATTCAGTTTTTAGATCTGATTAAACTAAAAAAAACCCACATATACCCGCCAGAAACAAGGTAATAGGTAAGTTACTGGTAATAACTTTATAACAAAGAGAAATTCGAAACTACTCTTATTTTATAAAATAACCTCTTGAACATTTTGTTTTCCCAGCTGTCAGTATGTAAAATGACCAAGAAAATGATGAGTTCCTCCTTGCATCCCCAACATTTGCCCTTCCAGCAAACAATTAGTACTTATCCTTCATGTACCAGCTCAAATATCTTCTGTTGTATCTTTCACAACATGCCTTCTTTCTCCACAAAGATTTAGGGGGTCTTTTTCCAAAACATATTTGTATAAATATTCATTGCAGCAATTGTTATATTTATCTGAATGTTGTTCCCCACTAACCTCTAAAGCTACTTCAGAGAATGGATTGTCTTGTCTTGTTTGTATTCCCAGTACTCCTAGTCAGTACAGAGTAGACACTCAAGTAATACCAAATGATGAATTTCTTAAATGAACAGTGGGAAGAATGTTAACATAGAATCCAAAACCCCCCAAAAGAGTAAAACCTGAAACACATAGGAGCTATAAAATCATTGCGTAGGTCAATAATGACCGAAAGACGATTATTCTTTTTCTTCTTATTTTAATCTTTCAATATTTCCTTGTTTGTTTTGAGACAGGGTCTCACTCTGTTACCCAGGCTGGAGTACAGTGGCATGACCATGGCTCACTGCAGCCTCCCACCTCAGCCTCCCAGGCTGCTGGGACTATAGGGATATGCCACCACACTCAGCTAATTTTAAAAATTTTTCTGTAGAGATGAGGTCTCCCTATATTGACGATCAGTCTTCCTGCCTCGGCCTCCCAAAGTGTTGGGATTATAGGTGTGCGCCACTGTGCCCAGCCCTGCTATTTCCATGTTTTATTTCAGGGAGGGCTTGCATTACAATTGGTTGTCTTCTAGAGGCATGCTGTCTAATACAGGAGCCACAGGCCACAAGTGGCTATTTAGCTTAAAATTAAAGTTAAATTAAATTAAAAATTGAGTTTCTCAGTCGTATTAGCCACACTCCAAATAATCAAAAGTGACTAGTGGCCGCTGTATTGGAGAGTGGAGATATAGACTGTTTTCTGTATTGCATAAAATTCTACTGGATAGTGCTGTTTAGATTGGGTATCTCTCTCAACTACAGGCAGACTAAGGCTCTGCCAGTTCCACCTATACTAAAATAGCAGACGAAGCATTTTCTGGGCAAAAGTAATTTGCATGACAAATGTGTCCTTGAATAATAACTAACAGATGATATCAATCTATTTTCTGTATCATTAGTGTATTAAACATTTACTGACAACCAGAAACTATGCTGCTTCTTTTTGGAATAAAAAATTGTCACTCAATTAACTCTCTGGGAAAGTTACTTTTCTAGGAGACTGTTACTGCCTTGAAGTAGATTTCTCTAGAGTAATTTTTAAATTATCTGCAGAGGGGAAACTGAAAGGACCTTCATAAAATAGGCGGGGGAAAGGTATAAGACCTGGGGCCATGGTCCTGTCCTTCCTTTCAAACAGCTTTTATCTGTTCTTTATATTCCCTATTCTATGAGGCTTAATTGGAAAAAGTGTTTCAAACCACAACAACATATTCAGAAAACCATCACTTTAGATCATAGATGCTATAGAAGCCAAATGTACTGACACACCGGCATGCCTTCAGGGATCACTAGCCAAAGATCTTCCAAACCCAGTAGGTCTGAAAAGTCTTTTCCATTCTCAACACCAAGAAAGATGCCACAGCTAGTTAGATAAACTGGTTTCTAATTAATCATTGTGAACTGCCAAACCATCAGCAGAGCTTAAAAATGATCATTTATTAGGCAACCCAAGTTACAATTTTCTTTATCACTTCTGAAACCCTCCAATATTTTTGGGACTATTCAAATCACAAAAAACTGGATTCCTCCCATCTCCAAGTTGGGAAACTTAGTTGCTTTATGTAAAGGGAAGGTTTCTCCCAGGGTCAGAACTATCTTTATAAGCTCTAAAGTGAGAATGCACAAAATTATAGATATGGTATAAATTCATAATCCTTATACTGAATCATAAGTGTATCTGAGTTTTGTTTGGGTTACCTTTTATATATTCTCAGCAACTGAATTTAAATGAAAGGCTAAGTATTTTAAATTTCATAAGAGATATATCATGAGATATTTTAAAAATAAAACTAAAAATTAAAAGAGTGGGAAAAAGTGACAATCATTTCATAAAGGTAAAAAGTTATTTCCAAGTACTATTCATTCCCTAATTTATTACTAATGCTATATTTACTGTCAACCAAAAGAACGGCTAGATAAATACAGAGAGATAATTTTATATAGTACCAAACTTCACACTTCGAGATCTGGACCCTTGTTCTGAAAATAATGAAATAGACCTTGATTGATACATCCCTTGTGGAAAAAGGTGACTATCTAAAGAATCACCTGACAAGAATTTTGCAACAGTCAAATATTTAATTTTTAATTTTCTTCCAACATGGATGATATGTAAACAGCGAGAAATAAATGAGAAGGTTAGAAATGTAATGGCTTCTGTACACTAAAAGAGTAATTTTGAATAGGTGAATAGGGTAATTGCTGGCTACTTTTTTTTTTTTTTCTCTTGAGACAGGGTTTCACCTTGTTGCCCATGCTGGAGTGCAGTGTGTGTGATCATGACTTACTGCACTCTTAACCTCCCGGGTTCAAGAGATCTCCCACCTCAGCCTCCCAAGTAGCTGAAACTACAAGCACGTGCCACCACACCCAGCTAATTTTGCTATTTTTTGTCGAGATGGGGTTTCGCCATGTTGCCCAGGCTAGTCTCCAATTCCTGGGCTTAAGGGATCCTGCGTGCCTTGGCCTCCCAAAGTGCTGGGATTATGGGTGTGGGCCATTGCGCCCAGCCACTAGCTACTTTTTATTAAACCAAAAAAGAACATGGGACACTGAAAAAGAGGATGATAGTAAAAAGAAGCTGCAGTATAGATGGCAGTCATACCAAAGAACTCATAGGAAAAATTATATACTCTCAGATTAAGTCTAATACGAAAGTCTGGAGCTAGCAAGTATTTAAAATAAAGCTGTATAACTTCTGACCTTGTAAAAAGTTTCCTTTTGTTTCTTCTCACTTTAAACACTAATCTACATTTGCTGTGAGTGCTGAGTTTAAGATCTAATCCAGAAAAGGAATAAATGCAGTGCTGTATATTGAAGTTTCACACTAGGTGAGAGAAAAATAATTTAATATTACTCACACTGTTGACTTGGATCTGAGTCTGTCGTCATCTTAACGTAGTTTGAAGGAAAGAGACCAGTCACCCCGTTGATCTCTCCTTGCCACCAATCAGGATCATCTTTGTTCATAACATTAATGAGTTGTCCCTTGGAGAAACTGAGCTCATCTTCATTATTTGCTGCATAGTCATACATAGCAATCACCTGACATACTATCACAAGAATAACAAAATAACACATTAAACAAATTAATTATTCCTGCAAGGGTCAATCATTTGTAATCTCCCTAGGATTTAAATTATTTTAATATTAAATATTAAAATTAGGCTAAAATTTCCCTTGAACTGCTCTTTCTCACCCTCCTTCCCCTATTCCTGGTCTTACAAAAACAAGAATTTCCCAACTGCAGTTAACAATCCAAGTGAAGTACTTCACTTTAAGTATGATGGTGTAACAATTTCACATTGAAAGATTTCAAAGAGTCGAAGTGGTTCAAGTATCAGTGAATAAGCTGGCTGTTCCTACACTGAACTTTTCAGAAAGGAAATTCTCAGTGGCATGTCCCTTTTAAGCAGACATAAGGAAAGAACACATTTTTAATGTTTTCCAAAGATTGAGCTAATCTAAGAAGTTGCTGAGTTTTAACAAACTCCTCTAAAATGAAATACAAATTAACCCACTTCCATACCAGGATGAAAGGCAGGTGTGGCTCTTTCACTACTTGGACCCAAAAGTTTAACATGACTGGCAGGAAACCATCCTTTCTGTCGCTTTTTTCCTCTGGCCTAAAAATTAGCAAAAGAAATACATAATTGAAAGATGAGATTAAAAACAATCATTGAGACATAACTTAAAAATTAGAAAAACCATAAATGTGTAGTAAATAATTTAATTTTGCCTAAAGAGAGGTCTGGTTTTTGCCCTCAGCTCCTGGAAAGTAATCTCTAAATCCTTGGACTATCCTGACTGGTCAGAGTGTCTTAGTTTACCTGTGGGTACTGGGTCATGCCAAATCTAACAATGTGATGTGCTTTGGGTCATGCAGTATCAGCTCTACCTTGGTAGGGGATGGAGACTGAGTTCAGAAAAACGGGCAATCAACTGTATCTATGTGAGGAACCCCAGTCAAAACTGCACACCAAGGCTTTGCTGACTGGCAATACTCTGTGTGTATTGTCACACATCATTGCCAGGAGGAGTTAATACTGTTCATGACTCTGCCAGGAGAGGACAACTGGAAGCTCTGTTTTTGGAACTCTACTGCACTCTGCCCCATGTGTCTCTTCCCTTGGCTGACTTTAATCTGTATCCTTTCATTGCAATAAACTGCAACATGAGTGTAATAGCTGTAGTGAGTTCTGTAAAGTCCTTCTAGTGACTTACAGAACTTGAGAGTAGTCTTGAAGACCCCCAAATTTGGAATTGGTTTCAAATATGAGCATGATCTTGGGGGCCTCGAACTCAGCATTAGCCTTTCAAGTAAACATTAAACAACTGGAAGACACACTAAAACATGCATCTCAAACTACTGCTGAAAACAGCATCTGAAGAAGTCTATGTGGAGGTCTTTCAGGCTCAGAGTTCTCGGAATATTTCACAAAAATATTTATATTCTAAAAAGACATTTCTAGAGTTCTCCTAACCCTTAAAATGGTGCAGCCGACTACAAATACTTCTTGGAGCTTTGTTAATCATTAATCAGGAGGTCAGAAGTAAAATTTGTAAAGAGTCATGTTTCCCACTTAGTTCGGTCCATCTTCAAAGTAAATCAGAAGGTGGAATTTCAGGGGGTTATTCAAGAAGGTATTAAATTTGAACCCCCATTTTTCTTCAGGAATCCTAAGACTCCTGATTTGCAAGAATGAAGCTATGTTTATCCTCCATACTACAATTATATATCACTCATATAAAAATATAGCTATTATATCTCTTGTCATCTTTTAATCCCTAAAATGCTTTTTAGTTTTAACTAGTAAGGAAATAATAGAAGTGAGAGAAGAACCCTTTTCCTGTATCAAAACATATGCAATAACCATCTATTAACGTTTTAGGGAAAAAAAAAAGGTTCATCTATGTCTGTATTGTCTTTAATTGCACTGCTGTTTCAAAAACCTAAGACCACTAGCGGACAGCCCAATTAGTAGTATTTTCTCAGCACACCATCTAGATTATGTCTTTCTCCTAGAGGCTATACTGCAAGCCTGGGACTATCCCAGGGAAAGATGATGCTGTTTCTTTAAGAACATGATCTGTGAATTATAAAGGAATGCATTATTGGAAAACAATTATGTCTTTGGAGAAAATTATTCCTTAAATTGTTACTTATAACATCAACTCAACTGTGCTAAAAATGTACACACAAGAGACTAAAGGAAATATAATGCAGTAAAATATTGATATTGATTACCTCTAAGTGGAATGATTATGGGTGATCTAAAAATTTTTATTAATTTTATCTTTTTTATGGAGCATGCAGTACTTTTATAATAAAATTTATAGATGCTATTTAAAGAATATTACCTGTAACTCTCCTTGCCACCACCCACTTGTATTTTTCTTTAGAATTAATATTAACTGTCCTGGTGCAAGGCTAAGTTGTTCAGAACCAGAAGCAACATATGCTGAAGTTACCTGAGCAATCTCTGAAAAGACAAAGAAGAAACTATGAATTCAAGATTGCGACAGAGCAAACACGTTAGTAATTTTTTAAGATCACTACTATACGTACCAGGTTTTTTATTTGATGCTCCAGACTTGCTAGCACTCCCAAAACTCTACAAGGAAAAGATACCGTGTTGTTTTATTATTTCCAACAATCCAAATGTAAAAGTATAAAGGTTAATGGGAATTAGAGATTTCAAATTCCCAGGATTCTTTTCTCTTTAAATGAAGATGAAAATGACAATGAACCTCATGCAGTATTAACAAATAAGTGAAAAATCCAACACTTATGAGGAGATCTGGTCTGCTAATGTAATACATTATATACGAGTGGCTGTCATCGTCAACCATTGACTCAACAGGAAGAGCTCGTTTTCTGAAACCTAAATATTAAACATGACCCTCCAGGCCAAATGCACTCCATTTATCAATGGCGTTAGCACCAATGCCCACTATGCACAACATATGTGTCCTGGATATGTCAAGGTATACGTTATTTTGCTCCTGCTTTCTCTAAGGGATCCTGACTTATCTATGGATCTTGATGAACAGGAGACAATGTTTTTATTTTTATTTATTTTACCATCCTCCCCCCAAACTGACTGAATCTGACCTAAGAACAAAAAATCCCTATCCTGTGTAGCAACTATTACTTCTGTTTCACTTTAAAGGATAAACTGGCCCAACCACATTTCCTCTTTATAGGAATTTGAACAACAAAAGGGATGGGATTAAAAAGAATTTTGTTCTGTTAGTGAACATAGCTGCAGTACAAGTATTAAGCAGAGTGGATGGTAGTTAAAAGCTAACATTTTCTGAGTACTGTATAACAGACACTGCTCTAAGAGGTTCCATATATTCTGCTATTTAATTTTCACAATAACACTATTAAGTAATTATGATTATCCCCATTTTACAGAGAAGGAAACTGAGGCACAGAAAGGTACAGTAACTTGTCCAAGGTCACCCAGGCTCTAAGTGTTACAGCTAAGAGTCAACCCAGGCAGTCTGATTCTACTACACCAATGGCTCTCAGCATGTGGTTTGTAGAACCTGGAAATAGTCCTTGAGCCTCTTTCAGGGGTCTGTGGGATAAAAACTATCTTCATAAAAATACTAAGACATTATTTGTCTTCTTCACTGTGTTGACATTTACAGTGGTGGGTAAAATCATTGGTGCTTTAGTGTGAATCATGGCAGTGGCACCAAATGACACTGAAGTATGGTAGTGTTCTTCACCGCCATGCACTCACAGTAAAACAAAGCCAGTTTCACTTAATAATGTCTTTAATGAAACAGCAAAAATTTTATTAAATCTTAATCTTCAAGTCCATACCTTTTAAAAGTTCTGTGTGACTAAACAGAAGTGTGCCTAAAACATTTGTGCTGCATACTAAAGTATGACGGTTGTCTTAAGGAAAGTATTTGTGTGACTAAATTGTCCACTCAACTAGGTTTTTCATGGAACAACATTTTTACTTCAAAGAACCAACAGAAAAACTATTTAGACTTGGGATTTAGCGAACATTTTCTTAAAAATGAAGTAAGCCTGTCCCTTCAAGGAAAACAGCTGGCAGGATTTTTTGCCAATGATAAAATTCAAGATTTCCAGGGAAAATTAAAATTTTAGAAAATTTGTACCTACCACTATGAGTCTGACAGTTTCCTAGTATTGAAAAACTTTTCTGATGAGTGGTGGTATTAACACATACGATTTTTCAGATACTGTGTAATGAAATGTGTCCACACAGGGAATATCTGCATAACTCAGTGATTCAATATTTTCCAAATAAACAACAAATAATGTTATCACATCATGCACGGGTAAAAGATCCACTCAACATGCAAAACAGACTAGTGAATTTTAATGTAACAGTAAGAACTGTTCACCGATAGGGCTTCAGATTCCATGTTGCAACTAACCTATAACGATTCAGCATTTGTCAAGTTTTAGTGTGGTAGAATAAAAAAGAACATTGGTAGATATCTGCAAATGCTATTAAAATACTTCTTCATTTTCTCTCATGTATGTGTGAGGATGAATTTTTTTATACTTCAACCGAAAAAAAAAATGTCACCGACTGAATACAGAAACAGACATGAGAAAGTAGCTGACTTAATTAAGTCAGACTAAAGAGATTTGCAAAAATATAAAACAGCCTGTAATCCCAGCACTTTGGGAGGCCAAGGCAGGTGGATCACTGGAGGTCAGGAGTTCAAGACCAGCCTGGCCAATATGGTGAAACCCCGTCTCTACTGAAAATACAAAAATTAGCTGGGTGTGGTGGCTCATGCCTGTAATCCCAGCACTTTGGGAGGCTGAGGCAGGCAGATCACTTGAGGTTGGGAGTTCAAGACCAGCCTGACCAACATGGTAAAACCCCGCCTCCACTAAAAATACAAAAATTAGCCAGGCATGGTAGCGGATGGCTGTAATCCCAGCTATTCAAGGGGCTAAGGCACGAGAATTGCTTGAACCTGGGAGGCGGAGCTGTAGTGAGCCGAGATCCAGCTTGGGCAACAGAACTAAACTCCATCTCAAAAAAAAAAAAAAATAAAATATATATATATATATATATGTGTGTGTGTGTGTGTGTGTGTGTATATATGTATGTGTATATATATGTGTATATATATATGTGTGTATATATATGTGTATATATATGTGTGTATATATATGTGTATATATGTGTATATATATGTGTATATATATGTGTATATATATGTGTATATATATGTGTATATATATGTGTATATATATGTGTATATATATGTGTATATATATGTGTATATATATGTGTATATATATGTGTATATATATGTGTATATATATGTGTATATATATATACACACACACATATACATATACACATACATATGTATGTATACGTATATATACGTGTGTGTGTCTTGCTAAACTTTGTTTTCATGATAAATACGGCTGTTTTTCATAAAAGCACGTTATTTATGTTACCATGTAATGGATTTAATTATTGTTATTTTAAAATGAATAAATATATAATTTCGCTTTTCAAATTTCTGATACGGTAAATATCATTAGCTATACTGAACATACTTTAAAAAAGCCTATGGGGTTCCTCAATAATTTTTAAGACTGTAAAGTTCCTGAAACCAAAAAGAGAACTTCTGCACTATACCATACTGGTGGTGGATGAAATGAGGCAGGAGCTCATGTAAGCTGAGTCACATTAATGTTACAGTCTTAAAGTGAAAATTGGCGAACTACTTCAAGGTGGTCCTTTTTGTGTTTCTCTGAATCCAGATCTACTTCCTAGCAGTTATCATGAAGCTCAACCCTACCCTACAACTCTTGTTCTTAGAATTTCATGAAATCTTGCCCCCTTTATCTAACTGGAGCCATATAATAAACCCTATTTTACCGGAGCTACTGTGAACAGTTTCTTTGTAACCAAAGCAACCTGATCAAAACCATAAACATGATCTCTAAGTATAAATCTTGATTAACAAGAATGGGTTGATTTTATTTTTAATACCAAAATAATTTAAGTATAAACCTGATTAACCAGAATGGGTTGATTTTAATATCAAAATACCTCTTGATCCTTTGGTTTGACATAGTTTGATGGAAAAATTCCACTTCTATCTCCAATACTTCCTGTCCACCACTCTCCATCTTTCTGGGTCACCAATATTTCTTCACCTTCTGTGAAAGTCAAATCTCCAGGTTCCACACTTGAATATGGATAAAGTGCAATATATTCTGTAGGGAACAAAGCAAAAAGAAGTAGATTCTGGTTTTAAGATTACAGAAGTGAAAAAGAAATTAGGTTATTCTCCAAGACATTGTATAAGTTTGCTGTAAAAGACCTTGTGCCTTCAGGAAACCTAACATAAAAAGATCTAAAGGTAGAAAAAGGAACGAAGCAATTATTTAATAATTCCTTAGAAAAAAGTTATTTGACTTAACATAAAACTTTAGAGTTTCTTTTATTCCCAATTGTTTATTTTTTTATCACAAAGAATTACCCAAAACTACAAACAGATAATAGTATCTCTATAGATAAATACACTGAGGCTTAGTGAGATTAAGTCACTCAGTTATTCAGATAATGGAGTCAAGATAGGAAAATATATTTTTTAACTTTTTTATACCAGAAATAGTTTAATCTGCTATATTATTTTCTCTTTAATTCTTTTAAGTACACAGTTATGGAAACACTCAATACCCAGAAGACAGCAGCACTAGAAGCCAAGCTCCATCCTGATGACCCAGCTCCTAGCACAGTGCTTGACTTGGAGTAGACGCTCGATAAATAGTTGTTAACAAATGACCTCAAGGGAAATATCTAAATTTTTATATCGCCTTTGATTTTTGTTTCTGTGATTGTCACTGCTTAGAAGAAACAGTTGGTGACTTGGTTTTCTAAGTCTTTTTCTTTCTTTCTAGTTTTATTTATATTTGGCCAACATGGAATTTGATCTTAATATCATAAACTTGAGACGATGAGAAACACCACCTACAACCTATTTACTATTCGCATTCCCAGTATTACTCAATTAATTTAACAAAATTCAAAGTGATTACAAGGTTTAGGTACGCTGCAATAAAAGTCGGGTCCTTTCCAACATGCTCCTCACTACTTTCCTAGGCTCAGCTCAGAGCACTCATTCCACAGTACACCTATGATTCAGCTTCACTGGTGACATGACGTTCCCCCGTTCCTTGGCTCATGCCATTCCCTCTGTCTAGAAGTGCATTCTCATCCTTTGTCACTCTGCTAGATCCTACTCATTGTTTAGGATGATGCAACACTGCCATCTCTGTGGATTCATATGTCCTACTCTAAATTGGTTTTGTTCGCTCATTAAAGAATTTATCACAACTGTATGCTCCATTCTATTGTGAGCACTTTGGAAACTTTTATTCATCCTTGTATTTTCCAGGCTCTAGCATAGAATCTTCAACGTAACAGATACTGAATAAATTGTTTAACATTAAACTGATATTTTTAGCAAAACATAAAATGTACCTCAACTATTCAACTAACTTTATAATGGACTTATACATTTCATTTATAAATGTATGTAACTATTAAATAAAAATATCCTCTGAAATTAGGGTAATCTTTCATTTTTCAACACATTAACAAAATCAAAATAATTTACTAATCAAACAACCCAAAGGGATATAGAAAAAAATTCTTTGCAATACTTATGATAAAGTATACCTTGGTCCTCCTTAATGATTCATATGGTACATTGTAATTAAAATGTATAAGCAATGAAATGTATTGAAATTTCCTTACCTCCTAAACATCTATAATCAATAATTGCAACACTTTTTATTTATGATGTTATTCATCAAACCAGTCTATGCTGAATTTTCATAGCACTGCCTTTCTAAAGTGCCAAGTATTTTCACCCATATTTTTTCTATATTCTCAATATTCATGTGAAATAGATAGGGGCAGGTTTTCCTAATCTCACTTTAATACTGCAGACACAGAAATGGGGAGAATATGCAACTATGTGAAGAACAGCAACTATGTGAAGTCAGGTAGTTAGTCAAGAGCTAAATTGATTACCATCTAATTTACAAATTGCCAAAAGCTTACCTTCTCCAACTGAATAGGCTGCCGAGGTAGGTTTCTTATTTACAGCTGCATACAAAGCTTCTGGTCTACCAAATATATAAACAAACAAACAAACAAACAAACAAATACAAGCAAAAATAAGAAAGGTGATTTGATGCACAGCAGGTTTTAGTAGTGCATTTTTTAGGGCTTTCTCAAATTAAATATAGTCTTAGTACACAGAACTGGGAAGACTTATACACAACATCCTGCAGGATTAAGAACAGCCTAATTATAAACTTCTACATTTTTAAATATATTTTTAAAATTTCAATATGATTTACAAATAGTTTTTCAAATGTGAGATATTTCGCCTTTCTAAAGAAACTTAAAAGACACCCACAAATTGTTAAGTGGTAAGCACATATAGGGCTTAGTTTAGTGTAGGAAAAAATAAAGGCAATATATACATTTTATTATTTGTTTAGAATGCACTACATTAAAAAAATAAAAATAATAAAACTTTGTTTTTATTATCTCAGAACAGCTATAACATTAATTTCCATTTTAACCCAGGAATCTGTTTTCAAAAATCTAGAAGACTGTCCTGTTTAACTAGACACCTGTGGGATGCACCAGGCCTCCCTAGGACCTGTGAGTAAATTACACTGTGAGGCAGTTTTTAAATAAACAGAAGGGGAACCTTATTACAACTACTGGTCACAACTGAATGGACTGTCTTGTTTAATGCTAAATTCTCCATTACTGCAGGTTTTCAAGTTATATGCCTTATCTGTTAGAAAACACTAGTAACTGAATGCATAGTTAGAAGAAATGCCCTCTAAAACACTGAAACAATCTGTTTTTGCTTAAGTTTTCTTCTCTGTAAATGTTATGGACATAAAATAAGACAATTTCTATAAAGGAATTGTCTATAAAGGGCCTAGCACAGTGCATGCATACAAATGCCAGCTATATATGGTTGTTGTTACTGTTATTATATTCTTCTAAATCCAAAATTCGGCCAGGTGTGGTGGCAAACACCTGTAATCCCAGCACTTTGGGAGACCGAGGCGGGCAGATCAACTGAGGTCAGGAGTTTGAGACCAGCCTGGCCAACATGGCAAAACCTTGTCTCTACTAAAATACAAAAATTAGCCCGGTGTGGTGGTGCATTCCTGTAATCCCAGTTACTTGGGAGGTTGAAGCAGGAGAATCGCTTGAACACAGGAGGTAGAAGTTGCAGTGAGCTGAGATTGTGCCACTGCATTCCAGCCTGGGCTACAGAGTGAGACTCTGTCTTGAAAAATAAATAAAAAGGGCTGGGCATGGTGGCTCACGCCTGTAATCCTAGCACTTTGGGAGGCCAAGGCAGGCAGATCACCTGAGGTCAGGAGTTCGAGACCAGCCTGGCCAACGTAGTGAAACCCTGTCTCTACTAAAAATACAAAAATTAGGCTCATGCCTGTAATCCCAGCACTTTGGGAGGCCAAGGCAGGCAGATCACCTGAGGTCGGGAGTTTGAGACCAGCCTGACCAACATGGAGAAACCCCGTCTCTGCTAAAAATACAAAAAAATTTAGCCGGGCATGGTTGCACATGCCAGTAATCCCAGCTACTCAGGAGGCTGAGGCAGGAGAATCGCTTGAACCCGGGAGGTGGAGGTTGTGGTGAGCTGAGATCGGGCCATTGCACTCCAGCCTGGGCAACAAAAGCGAAATTCCATCTCAAAAACAAAAAAAAACAAAAATTAGCCGGGCATGGTGGTGGATGCCTGTAATCCCAGCTACTTGGGAGGCTGAGGCAGGAGAATTGCTTAAACCCAGGAGGTGGAGGTTGCAGTGAGCCATGATTGCGCCACTGCGCTCCAGCCTGGCCGAAAGAGCGAGACTCCATCTCAAAATCAATCAATCAATCAATCCAAAATTCCATGTCAGGCTGAAAAGCAAATTTTTAGAAACAGCACTACCTTCCAGAAACACAGAAACTCAGCAGTGAAAGGGTCTTTAAAGATTATTTGGCTTAACCTTTTCATTCAGTCAATTAGAAAACTGAAGATTAAGTAGGTTATTCCTTACAGCCTGGCAAAAATAGCAGAGCCAAAACTCAAGCCTCTTGATTGCAAAAGACCAGCATCTTTTCATCAAATCAGACTGCTTTTCTACCAACTTCCATATAAAACACAAGAGACAGTTACCCATAGCTATATTATAGTACTTATTTCCTTGTATTATTATATTCGACAACTTGACTCCCTACAGAGTAGGAAATAAAGGTCAGAGACCTATCTAGTTTTTAGCTTTTTTCATTTGAAAATTCATTCAATTGTTCATTCATTCACGCCTCTCTTCATTCACTCAGCTAATATGATTGAGCAGCTACTATGCATGAGGATTAGAACAGGCATGAAGAAACTGAAAAATGAACAAATAAAAAAAAAGACATGCATCCCAGCCTCATTGAGCTTATGATCTAATAAGGGACATTGGTTTAAAAAAATCAGTAACTATAATGCAGAGTGCTATAAGCAATAAGAGAAGTTATATTCAGGGAATCTTGGAGACTCAGAAATGGGAATGCCCCAATTTGGCAAAGAGGAGGCCCTCAGTAAAGAGTTACTTAAATATTGACAATTTATAGTAAACAGGGGAGAAATGCTTGAAAGAAAATGAAAAGTAACTTTTCTAACTGATTTATGGTACAAAGAAGTGGCCAGGTGAGGTGGCTCACACCTGTAATTCCAGCACTTTGGGAGGTGGAGGCAGGAAGATCGCTTGAGCCCAGGAGTTTGAGAACACAGCCTGGGGTAACACAGCAAAACCCCACCTCTACAAATAATTTAAAAATAAGCCAGGCATGGTAGCGTGCACCTGTGGTCCCAGCTAGCCGGGAAGCTGAGGTGGGAGGATCGCTTAAGGCTGGGTGGTCGAGGCTGCAGTGAGCCATGATCCACCACTGCACTCTAGCCTAGGCAACAGAGTGAGACCCTGTCTCAAAAACAAAAAAAGCAACAGATCTATAATTTTGAGTAGCTTGAAAATTTTATGAAATCTGAAATAACTAGAATGAAAGATATTCTAAACTGAAACAAATACCTGAGGTATGCTTTTTTCATCCTAAGAATTACCTTTCTTTTTTCTTTTTTTTTTTAATACGGGGTATCACTCTGTCACCCAGGCTAGAGTGCAATGGCGTCATCTTGGCTCACTGCAACCTCTGCCTCCTGGGCTCAAGAGATTCTCCTGCCTTAGCCTCCCAAGTAGCTGGGACTACAGGCATGTACCACCATGCCCGGCTAATTTTTGTATTTTTTGTAGAGACAGGGTTTCACCACGTCACCCAGGCTGGTCTCAAACCCCTGGGCTCAAGTGATCTGCCTGCCTTGGCTTCCCAAAATGCTGGGATTACAGGTGTGAGCCACCACGGCCGGCCAGAATTACCTTTCTGATATTCAAACTCAAGTATAAAATTGTTATTTTATTATACACTCAATCAGACCATGGCTGACTCATTAGTGAAAATACCAACATCCACATCTCATGAAAACACATAAAGATGCTTACTCTTCCCGTTTTACTTCACTCCCAGGAATGATCTTGACATAAGATTTGGGAAACCATCCTCTTCCTCCATGCACCTCCCCAAACCACCAATTTTCTTGCTGCTCCAAGACAGTAATAATGTCATGTTTTGAGAAGTTCAAGTGGTTATCTTTCTTTGCAGTCCAGGAACAAAGGGCCTGTGCTTTTAAGTTTTCTACCACTTGTCCCTATGAATACAAAACCACCAAAAATTTTTAAAAGGCAATGGTAACTATGATTTCTGTTTCTGTGTATATAACATACTTACTGTTCAAACAGCAGACCAGTTTTGTGTCGTGGTGACTTAAGATAACCTTAGTCTACTAACTGACTTTAAATTATACATGATAGACAACTATGTGACTAGCCTTCTGTTAAGACAGACTGAAAACCCACCATTCAAAGAAACCTCATCACATCACTGGTAGAGAAGGTAAATAATGTGTACTCAAGAAATGTATTCACACATCCATGAAATACATATCATGGAACAAATGAAAAAGGAATGTTACTGTAAATCTTTTTTCTCTTCCAGCTTGCAATGTAATTCTGTTTACTCCACTAGGGAAGGAAATTGGCATGCTTGGCTCCCTCTGTTTCTCTGCTTTTCTCTTAACTTCCTCCTATTCTATTCTATTCATTCTTCTTTCTTTCCCTCCTCTCTCAAAGGAAGGAGTGTTTTGTTCCTTTAATAAGGCTAAACTCTTCACTTATTCTCCAAGTCTTCTATTATACCCTTTCATTTTCTAAAAATATTTAAGTCCTTCTCTTCAATCTACTTCTCTACTTGCTTCTACTTCTGAATTCCTTAAATGATAGTCTTAAACTTTTTTTCCAATTTCACTCCTTGATCACTTCTAATTTAGGTTCAGCACTCATCACACTACTGAACCTCTTCCAGACAAGGTTATTAATAATAACATCAAAGCCAAATGCTTCTTCCAAACCCTTATTCCTCTTGATCTCTAAACAGCTAACATCAAGCCTTGTAGTTCCTGAAGCTGACTCTCTGGTGATTGATGGCTCCTCTTTTGTCCAACCCTTTTCCCTTACTGTTCCACAGGACTTCCCTAAATACTCTTAATTATGCCTATGACTTCTCAAACCTATATTTTCAGTGTAATTTTATCTCCTGATCTCCAGACTTGTATATCAAACTGCCTACTGGGTGTTTCTACCAAGCTGTCCCTAATACACATAGCTTAAACTTAGCATGGCTGAAACATAATCATTTTTAGAACCTACCAAACCCATTCCTCCTGCACTGTCTACCAAAGACAAGGATACTACTATCCTTTTGGTTGCTCACGCTAAAGACTGAAGAATTATCTTTAACTCCTATTTCTTCCTCACTCTCCACATTCAATGGATTATCTATTTAATATCATTTCCTAATAATCTTCTAAATCTATCTCCTCTTTCTTATATCTTAATTACCATAGCACTTGTTCAAACCATCATCTCTTGTTATTTAGCTATTGTAATATCCTTCCTTAACTGGTTGTTTTCTTCTGCTAATCCAGACTTTATGTTAGTGCCAGAATTATCTTTCTAAAACATACACAATAACTCCACTCTTAAAAATCCTCAGGGACTTTCCACTACCAAGTTGCCTAGCACGGTATTAAATGCTTCCCAAATAAACCTCAACCTCTCTCTCCAACTTCGCTTAACCCTTTCTCCATGAATCCTGTATTCCAGCCATATTATTAACAATGCTTGTTTCCTGCAAATATCTTGTGTTAACATGCCTTGGTGACTTTCCCCAAATTGTTCTTTCATGGGAATAACTTTCCTTCTTTGTTGGGTGAAATCTTATCTTTGAAGACCCTACTCAAATACCTTGCCCTTTGTGAAGGCTGCTCCAATTCTCACCAATTGAGTAAGATGATCTCTTCTATATATACCCCCTACAGACCTTGTAGATATCTTTAATACAGCATTTCTCATGCTTTACAGTTATTTATATGTCTGTCATGTTCATTAGATTATGATCTACTGAATGGTGAGTTTCTGGTTTTTAAAAATTGTTTTAGAGACGGGGCTCACTCTATTGCCCAGGCTGGAGTACAGTGATATGATCATAATTAATTGTGCCTCAAACTCCTGGTCTAAAGTGATCCTCCCACCTCAACCTCCCAAGTAGCTAGTACTACAGGCACATGCCACTATGCCCGGCTAATTTTTAAATTTTTTGTAGAGATGAGGTCTTGCTGTATTGCCCAGGTTGATCTTGAACTCCTGGCCTCAAGCAATCCTCCCATCTTGGACTCCCAAAGAGCTGGGATTATAGGCACTGAGTCACTGTGCCTGGTGTCAATGTCAGGTATTTTTTGACTTATTTTTTCCTTAAATTTCTAGCACATAATAAAATGCCTGGAACCTATGGCCATGGCATTTTTTGAGTGAAGGTGAAATCTGGAGGACTTTGGACTTTATTCTGATGAAGTCTGCAATTTAAAAAAATAATGTTAATGTAACCCTATTGCAATAGTTATATCTAAATCAGAGGCTAAATATACGTTAAAAAGTTCTAACGTTCCCAAATAACTTTAAGAAAAAAAAAAAAAAACCGTCAAGCCCAAGTCTCTCATCTTCTTATTATAATAACTACAAATCAAGAACAATATATCATGAGATTTGTAAAAATAACATTTTGAGCTTAGAAACCTTAGCTGCTAGCAACTTGGTATTATGGAAAAGAATTGTTGAGAAACCTAGGCCGGGCGCAGTGGCTCACGCCTGTAATCCCAACATTTTGGGACGCCAAGGCAGGTGGATCACCTGAGGTCAGGAGTTCGAGGCCAGCCTGGCTAACATGGTGAAACCCCGTCTCTACTAAAAATACAAAAATTAGGCATGGTGGCAGGCACCTGTAATCCCAGCTACTCAGGAGGCTGAGTCAGGAGAATCTCTTCAACCAGGGAGCCGGAGGTTGCAGTGAGCCGAGACTGCACCATTGCACTCCAGCCTGGGCAACAGAGTGAGGCTCCGTCTCAAAAAAAAAAAAAAAAAAATTGTTGAGAAACCTCTAAGTAATAGTCATTTCTTCAACTTCACATCACATGTGAATAAGAAAGAAACTGAATGCTACAAACTCTGGTTAAATGAGTGAATGGTCCTTTGTATATAATTTTCATTCTATTTTAATCAGGAGCAAATTCAAAGAATAAAGCCCACAAAAATAACAGACAACATACCTGTCCATGAATAGGTGATACAGATCCAGGGGACACAGTTCGAGTGAAGGCTGATTTTTTCTGCCATGATGTATTTACAGTTAGGTTTGAAAAAGATACATTTTGATAATCAGTCACTGATGCTGGTTGATTTGAAGAAAGTGGTCTGCAAATATAACACTTTGATATAAGTATATTTATTTGTTTAGAACTTAATGAAGTACTACCAATTTATCAACTTACATATTATATACACTGTGCTTACACACAATTTGTGGGAAAAGAAATAATTATTAACAAACTACTGACCCATGTTTTCACTTACTAAATTTCAGTATTAAATCTGGAACAAAAAGTAGTCTTGAAGAGTACAACCCGGATTACACTATGATGAAGTAGTAGGCTGACACCATTATATATTAGGTATTTACACATTTGCAGATCTATATAAACTTTACTGTTAGCTAAAAACTTACTCAGAGGAAGTTGAGGTAGCAGATAAAGAAACTGTAGGAGGAAGTAAGGCCTTCTTTGGAGATACAGCTTTTTCATTTTCACTTGATGGCATTTTTTCTACATAATTGCATGGAAACCAGCCAAAATTTCCTTGAAAACTACCATAAAGCCAACCAGGTTCTCCTACGGTTTTTTCATCAACCTACGGAAATAAAAAGAAGGATTAACAGTGCTTAGAAATTCACACATTTACAATGGAAAGAGATGAAAACTATTGTATAGTATTCTCATTTTCAGAATTAAGCCCATCTAACTAAACAGCTAAGGCATTTTCTACAAATTAACAGCTACTATTTCCAGTGACTGGCAAGTTGTCTTTTTAATTTTAATTTTATCCAAGTTACATGAAAATATTTTACAAAGACAAATAGCATTCATTATATATGGCTAATGAGGGAAAACAATCCTCCCCTATCTCATGGCTCCTTATGCCCTGATTTTCACTCCTGACCTGCCATTCTTCCTGGTTTCTTCTATATCACCATTTATATTTCTGAATAACATATTTATACTGCTTTTTCTTGAATTTTTTCAATTTTAGACATTACTGGCTTTTGGCTATGGGAAATGAAGATTGACCTCTCTTTCACTGTAGCCTCTTACTCTACCAATACTGTTATAGCTTAATCTTTATTTAAATTTATTTAATGTTTATAATATTATGATTATGTTTAAATATTTCACATCTGAGTCATGCAGCATGCTGCTGATTAAATTTCCTTTTTTGTAAACTTTTTATTCTCCTATAATCATTACTTTTTTTGTTTTTGGCTTACTTTTTTCTGTTCCTGTTACACAGTTTTTTTGAACTCTCTAACAGAACAATAAGATCTTCTCTGAATACTATTTTCCAACTGGTAAACATGTCAGGTGATTTATCAATTTCATTGCTTCTCCCAGACATTTTCATCCTACAGTGTGACATCCTCCATCCTCACAGTGTTTCTCCCTCTGCTTCTTGGTCCTTGTTCCTTAAACACTAAGGACAGCCTCAAGTTTCATCACTGGCTTTCTTTCCTCATTCTATACCCTTCCTGAATAAGCCCACTTACTCCTATAGTTTGATCAGTCCTCTGTGCAATAATGAATCCAAGAGCTATGATCTCAGTGCTGACTTCTTCCCGAAGCAACATGCCTATACTTTCAACTACTTGCAAGATATCTTCAAGTGGATGTCCCATGGGAACTTCCAAGTCAACTTTAAAACTGAACTTTTCTCCTCCATCCCCTCCTTCTCCTAAATTCCTCTATTATTCACACCACCAAAAATTTAGTCATTCTAAATAAAAAATCTTTGGCTCTTACCTCTTTTACACTTCCACATCCAAACTACTGAATTTGTCATTAAAGACTCTTCTAATTTGTCAACCCACCCTCACTGCCCTACTTCAGGCTTTTTTTCATTTCACACTCAAGATTATTATGATTTTTACTCATCCTTCAAGATTCTAACTTCCCCCAACCCAAGCCAGAGTTATTTCATACATAACTGTCATAATTAGCATTATATACATTATATATGCATAATGACACTTAATTATGTAGCTAATACATAAGTATATGTACTTACTACAGATAAATTATTTATATGTAAATAATGACTTATTTACATATCTCTCTTCCATTTGTCCGTGAGCTTTATTGACCCCCACTGTCTAGCATAGTAGAAATCACTTAACTCACTGAATAAATGAATATGGTAGTTGTGTCTCTGTTCTCCAATCCATTTTCCATACCTTTCTAAAACACAGACTTGACAGTGTTATATATCTATTAAAATCATGTTGAATCCATTCATATTTTTAAAAACTGCTTTCTCAGATATCATTAATATAAATTTCATGTTTAAGGTGTTAAATTTGATGTTTTGACATATGTATATACCTGTGAAAAATCACCACAATCAAGATAGCCAACACTTCCATCACCCCCAAAAGTTTCCTCTTGTTCCACCATAAGTCCTCCAGCTTGCCCCTCCCCATGACCTTCCCTGCCATCTCTACGAAAACACTGGCCTGTTTTCTGTCCTATATATTAGTTTACATTTTCTAAAATTGTATATAAATAAAATCATACTATATGTATCCTTTTTGTCTGCCTTTTTCCACTCAAGGCATCCATACAGTAAGAACAGTTTGTTCTTTTTTTATTGCTAAGTAATATTATATCATATGAATATACCACAATTTGTTTATCCTTTCAAATGTTGGTAGACATTAAAGTTTTTTCTAGTTTTTGGCTATTACAAATAAAGCTGCTATGAACATTTGTCTTCATACGGACATATGTTTTCAATTCTCTTGTGTAAATACCTAAGAGTGGAATGGCTGAGTCACATGGTAGGTACATGTTTTAACTTTTTTAACAATGGCTTATGGAGATATAATTCACATTCCACATAATCCTTCCATTTACAGTACACAATTAAATGCATTTTAGAATATTCAAAGAGTTACAGAATCATTACCACAATAACTTACAGAACTGTTTTCCTCAAAAAGAAACACTAGGCTGGGCACGGTGGCTCATGCCTGTAATCTCAGCACTTTGGAAGGCCGAGGGGGGCAGATCACCTGAGGTCGGGAGTTTGAGACCAGTCTGACCAACATGGAAAAACCCTGTCTCTAGTAAAAATACAAAATTAGCCAGGCATGGTGGCACATGCCTGTGGTCCCAGCTACTCGGGAGGTGGAGGCAGGAGAATCGCTTGAACCAGGAAGGAGGTTGCAGTGAGCCAAGATCACGCCATTGCACTCCAGCCTGGGCAACAAGAGCGAAACTCTGTCTCAAAAAAAAAAAAGAAAGAAAGAAAGAAACACTATTTATTAGATTGTCATAGCTAAGAAACTGAAAAACTTTGAGTAACCCGAAGTTGTTAAGATTTTCTCTGTTTTCTTCTAGAAATTCTACAGTTATAGGTTCACATTTGACATCATATTTTACCTATTTTGAGTTAATCTGTGTATATGTTGCAAGGAACAAATTGAAATTCATTTTTTTGCATATGAATATCCATTGTTCCAATACCATTTGCTGAAAAGACTGTTCTTTTTCCACTGAGTTGCTTTTGCACCTCTGTCGAAAATCTGTTGTTTATACACACACACACACACACACACACACAAACACACGTAGCATGAATCTATTTACCTACTCTGTTCCATTGATCTATTTTCCTGTCTAGATGCTAATATCACAACTGTTTTGACTGCTGTAACTTTTATAATAAGCCTTAAATTCAGGTACTAAAAGATTTCCAACTTTGTTCCCTTTTCAAAGTTGTTTTGCTTTTGAATCATCTCGTCATTTGCTACAAAAACAAAAAGAAACAAAAAAAAAAAACAAAGCCTGCTGAGATTTTTGTTGTTGTTGTAGAGATGAGGTCTTGCTTTGCTGCCCGGGTTGATCTCGAACTCCTGGTCTCACGCAATCTTCCCATTTTGGTCTCCCAAAGTGTTAGGGTTACAGATGTGGATCACAGCACCTGGCTGCCTGTTAAAGTTTTGATGTAAATTGCTTTGAGTCTGTGTAAGAATTTGAGAAGAACAGACTTCTTATCTTTTTCTAAAAAATTTGTTTACACAGGACTTAAGAGAAGAACTGACTTCTTATCAATACTGAATCTTCCAATCCATGAACACTATATATCTTTCCATTTATTTCGGACTTCAATTTTTCTCAATAAAACTTTGTAACTTTCAATAAACAGGTCTTGCAAATCTTTTATCAGTTTTATCTGTATTTCATATTTTTATGCAATTGTAAATGGTATTTTAAATTTCAATTTCTGAATAGTCATCGTTTCTATACAGAACTACAACTGATTTTGTTATATTGATCTTGTATTCTGCAACCTTGCTAAACTCATTTAAATAGTTCTAGTAGCTTAATAGATTCTATGGGACTTTTTACATAGATTATCATGTCTTCTGCAAATCAATACAGTCTGTCTTCTCCTTTTCCAATCTTGATGCCTTTTACTCTATGGTAAGCCACTTTAGACCCATTAGGATTTTTCTCCTAGCAGATGTTGTCTCTCTAGTTTAAAGCTCTTAAAAGTTCAAACTTCTTAGTGTAGAATTTGAATACTCTGAAATTACAGTTTCTTTGTCAGGTTTCAACTTACCTTTCTAGCTTCATCTCTTACCATTTGTTCGATATTCTAGGCAAATAGTTATATGACATTCTTTAAAAACACCTGGCACATGCAAGCCTCAATGTTTTTATTTAAGGTATTCTCTTCTGCCCAGAATATTACATGGTTTAGAGGAAATACTACAGACTTGAGAGTTAAAAGAACCACATTTCAGTCTTAGCCATGCTACCTGGTTATCCTTCGTTAAGATAATGAATGCTATCTTGTGTGCTTTGTCATCTACAAATTTGGGGGGAAATACCTGTGCTGCCCTCCTCTAGGGTATCTTTCAGAATTAAATTGAGTATATTTATGAAGGCGCTTTGGAAACTGTAAAGCACTAAGCAAATATAAGGCATAATCCTTCAAGGCCTTCCTCCATCCTATCCTTGGGAAAAATGTTCCCCAATTCTATTTGGTTGTTTTTCCTTCATTCTCTGGGTTCCCACAGTACTTACTCATATAAATTAGTATTGAAATTTATCATGTTATATTTTGTACAGTAATACACATTTCTTTTTTTTCCTAGACTGTGGTCTCCTTATTCATTTTTGTATGTCACCAGAGGCACATGGTTACAAACTCAACAAATGTTAACTTGAATGGATTATTCTAAATTTGATTAACAATAGACTTAAAGCTTAATTAGTAATAAATGGATTATTAGGGCAACTTCATTTATGTTTATGGTAAATAATTCTCATTTTAATGTTATATGTCTGGCTATTTATTACATCATGAATGAAATATTTAGAAAACTCCTAAACCAGAGCTGCTATGGCTAAACTGTATGATGTCACAGTAATGTAGCTCCCATAAAATGGTGTTCTAAAATAGTTAGAATGAAAGCAAACACTTATGAAATATTATCCTGTAAATCTAGTTTAAGACTAGTTTAAAATAGTTAAGTCTGCCAGGCACGGTGGTTCATGCCTGTAATCACAGCACTTTGGGAAGCCAAGGTAAGAGGGTTGCTTGAGGCCAGGAGTTTGAGACAAGCGTAGGCAACATAGTGAGAAACTCCATCTCCACAAAAAAAAAAAAAAAAAAAAATAGCCAGGTGTGGTGGTGTGTGCCTGTAGTCTCCACTACTCAAGAGGTTGAGGTGGGAGGATGGCGTGAGCTCGGGTGGTCGAGGCTGTAGTGAGCCATGATCCCGCCACTGCACTCCAGCCTGGGTAACAGATTGAGACCCAGTTTCAAAAATAAATAAATAAATAAAATAAAATAGCTAAGCCAGAGCAATATAAATTCAGACAAGAATACAATAAACCCTGAGGAATTACACAAACCAAAGTATTTCAATGCTGCAAAATGCTCAGCATTGTACCTGATTTAAATGTATTGTCTTGGACATGGATGACGCTGAAAACCATCATTCCCAGCAAACTAACACAGAAACAGAAAACCAAACACCACATGTTCTCACTCACAAGTGGGAGTTGAACAATGAGAACACATGGACACAGGGAGGGGAACATCACACAGCGGGACCTGTCAGGGGGTGGGGGACTAGGGGAGGAAAGCATTAGGAGAAATACCTAACGTAGATGACAGGTTGATGGGTGCAGCAAACCACCATGGCACATGTATACCTATGTAACAAACCTGCACGTTCTGCACATGTATCCCAGAACTTAAAGTATAAAAAAAAAAAAAAAGTATGGTCTTAAGGAAAGGAATCACCGTAAGCTATGAGTATTGGCTATATATAGGTACACATATGTACATACATACATACACACACACACATTTACCACATTTACTTACATGCCCTTCCTACTTTCCTTTCTACCTCCCTTCACTGACGGACTTGGCTGGCTGGCTGACTTTTCAGACAGGGTCTTACTCTGTCACCCAGGCTACTAGAGTGCAGTGGTGCAATCACAGCTCACTGTAGCCTTGACCTCCTGGGCTCAAGTGATTCTGCCACCTCAGTCTCCACAGCAGGTGGGACTACAGGTGCACACCACCAAGCCCCGCTAATTTTTTTTTACTTTTTGTAGAAACAGGGTCTTCCTATGTTGCCCAGGCTGGTCTCTAACGCCAGTACCTACGTGATACTCCTGCCTCGGCCTCTCAAAGTGCTGGGATTATGGGTGTGCACCTGCACCTGGCCAAAAGCTTTTAAAAGTATTAATTTCTAGATACACTTTTTCCTAGTGTTTTCAACCTAATCAAGAAGAAAAATCTCGTTCATTTATTCTGTAGTTAGGCCAAGTTGTTTTAGTAAGAGGTCAATTTTAATCTCTTTCACATCTGTCATTTATAGTTGTAATTAATTTTTAGTTGTTAATTTACATACTGAGTTAAACTGAACATTTTATATAAATTCTCACAGGCCTAGCAAAACTACTTATTACTTCTTCTTAACTACTTATTAATTAATGTTAGCAAAATAGCATTAACAGATTAGAAGGCTAGAAAAACATTTCAGCTTGTCATCGAAAATGTGGCCAAGACTCAGTGGAATTTCTAATCCTTTTCACTTTCAATGAAACCTCCGGTAACACCCTCATCCATTAAGTTGATCAGACCTTGCCTCCTATCTTACCGGGAATTTGGAAGTCCTGGGACCTGACTTCATCTTCTACTTCAGCAAAATTTACTTTAATCCCTCCCACCCTTTCTTCCTGCCCTCTAATGACAAAGGATAAGGTATTCAATCCTTCTACCACTCTCTTCCAGGGCTCCAGATTCCAGCCTTCTAGCCTTTTCAAGAATCTTCCTCATCTCCATCTATTAGTCAGAACAGGGAGGTTTGACAAGGAACATGAAGTGCCTTCCTGATGCTGTACGTTCTACACACTGATCTGAGGGGGGCTTCACAGATACACAGATGTGTACACATTCTTTGAGCTGTATACTTATGGTTGTACACTTTGCTATATATAAATTATACTTTAATAAGAAAAAACAATCTTTATCAGTTATTTATACTCTTTCCATTATCATTAACCTGTTTCCTCTCTGCAGATCCTTTCTACTATTATTTAAACTTGCTCAAGCTTCAGCCAACTTTAAAAAAAAAAAAAACTTCCCTCAACCCACATTTCTCATTATTTACTACCTTCTCTCCTTCTCCCTTTCAAAGCCAAGCTCATTCAAAGAGTTTTATATATTCACTGTCTCCTCTTCCTCTCTTCCAATTTATTCCAACTCACTGAAATCTGGCTTCTCGCTCTACTAGTCCACTTAACTGATACTGCTGTCCTCAAGTTAACAACACCTGTGCTATTGCTAATCTAATAATTTTTTTAGTCCTTGTTTTATTTCACTTGCAGATCACTCTTCTCAAAGTTCCCTAACATTAAACTCTCCTGTTTTTTTTTTTTTCCTACTACTAGTCACTCCTTTTAAGGCTCCACTTCCTCTAATAATTCCTTCAGTGTCCATGTTTCTCAGGAACTGCATCCTCAATCCTCTTCTCTCTCACGTTACTACTCCCCTGGATGAGCTCCATTACTCTCATGTCTTCCAACACCATCACATCACACTGGCGACATCCAGATTTACATCCTCAGCCCAGACCGCTGCCTGACATCTCTCTAGGTACTCTGGAGATCCAACTACTACTGCCTGGACATCTGAAACTCATACAAAACTGAACTCATAATTCTACTTATATATTCCCCCTCTGATTTTCCCTCTTAGGAAATGACACCATCATTAACCAATTTGTTCAAATCAGGCAACTCATGACTGACAGTAGTAACTCATGACTAATACTTCATGTTAATGATTCAGCAGAGTACACAAGCACCCAAGACACACAGCTAACTTTATGTTTCTGTTGTCACTGCCACCAGAATGGCTCTCTGACCATGGGAGAGGTCTGTGCTAAAGCTGGTAGCAGTCTACAACCTTTTCCTTACCTTCCTTCCTCTACTGCTTTAGGTTGTCACGCTTTTTCATTAGCCTACAAGCGTGTTAAGAGCAGAGATAATGTCTTATTCACTAAATCCCTAGTCTAACATAGTCAGCCCTCAAAAAATATTTGTTGAAATAAATAAAAAATATAACCAAAAATATAAGTAAACTCTTGACCAAACACGCCCAGAGATTGGTTGTATCTCTTCATCCAGACACCATCACCAACAAGGAGAGGAGGAATGGTAGGAAGAGCAGACAGTGGACTTGGGCTGGTTGTAGAACAAACCTCTCCCCCTGCTCGGGCACAGCTCCGGTACTACTAATAGCGGCAATGGCAAGAGCAGGAATGTGTGTTTAGGGTTTATCTTGGGTGCTAGCGTTTTGGTAAATTTTTTTCCCTAGTATCATTAAACATTTGCCACCTAACTGATAAATCACACTAACTGGTGACAGTGCAGGGGGAGCGGGGGAAAGAGGCACTGGCTAGATACTCTGGCTAGATACTCTGGTTAACATTAGTTTAACAAGAAGAAAACAGAAGCAGAGACTAAAATCCAAGTTTGTGTGCTTCTAAAGCCTGTACTCTTTCCATTATGTCCTACTGGCTCTATCAAACACTACTCCTGGGATCTTCTCTTATTCATGTATTTTATATGGATTGTGATAACACAATAAAGACTTTCGTTCCAAGGAACAAATTGCCTGTATCCAGTTAGGGCTGTGGAATCTAACTCCTTCAATTCTTTTAACAGTTGCTGTATGGCATAGCAGAAACAACGCTGGATTTGGAAATAAAAAAACACATAACTGCATCCCATTCTGGCACTGCAATGCTGACAGTTACAACTTGTGTGAGTTTAAGCTTCCTTGGCTAGAACTTAGTTAGTAATAATAACTGTCCTATGCAGCTCTGAAGTATGTTGTAAAGTCCAAATGAGGTAATGTTTAAGAAACATTTTACAAAGGTAAATATATGAAATTAATGGTCAACATTACTACAGAAACTAATATATTACAATGTATTTAGGTTATTCATGATTAAAAAAAAAATTCATTTCCTACCTGAATTATATCTCCAGAATTAAAACTCATCTCATCATGGTTCCTTGCTTCAAAGGGGTATAATGCTCTATAATTCACCAAAACACTAGCTGTCTCACCTAAAGAGAAGACAATTGTCATTATTTGCAACTTACATGTATACATCTTTGCTATGACTCAATAAAGAGCTCTAAAACCTAAAAGAAAAAATCAAGCACCAAATACTACAATGAAAATCCACTTGATACAGACTTGCTAGGATTTCAGTATCTTGACTAGTCATCTAATAAAAAAGCAAACAAGGATGCTCATCTTAAGTAAGGTAGGAGGCAGCAAAACAAAGAGATGACTTGCGGGATGAAGCACACACATGGGTAGAAAGGAAAGTGCAGGAGTGGGGGCCAGGCTGAGCTGTACAAAGTGGAAGGAGACCAAGCAAAGAGAGGCTTGGTTTGATCTGTGGAGGTCTGAATATAACAGGGAAGTAAAGGACAAAAAGGGGGGTCTCAAAAGATAAGAATAGCAAGTTAACAGGGATGGCTGAAGAAAAATCTATACATCTATCAGAATGGTTCTAAAAGGAAAACAGTGGAAGAGTACACAAATATACTGAATTTGATAAGAATAAAATTGTTTACTTTGTTCATCTTTAGAATGTTTTAACTTATAAAATTTCAACAAACTGTATCATTAATAATGATTCAAAGGGTTCATGTATCTAAAAGAGATACAATACTACTAAAAGTATTGTGGAAATGGACTGAGGTGTATCAAAATTTTACTGTTGTTTCATTAAAATAAATAGCTTAGTTATAGTGGTTGAATAAAATATTTAAAACTATTTTACTTCAATTATGAAAACCATGTCTGAGTCTTTTCACAATCAGTAGTAACTATCTTCTTTTCTCCTGCTGTGCTAAGATTTCTACTGCTGTGTTAAGATTTCAGTCTGTTTTAATAAGCCTACTGCTTTTTATCCAAGTTTAATTTATAAAAAGGTTTTTTCTGACTCTACAATTAGTATCTTTCTAATTTTCTTCCCTTTTTTTGTCTCTTATCAGGTCATTTTTTTCTTGTTGCATTTGTTCTACTGTCTCAAAGTATCCTTATCCTTACGTTTTTTCTCCTCAGCTTTCAAAGTATCCTTATCCTTACGTTGTTTCTCCTCAGCTTTCCGTTCCTCTTCTTGAATTTTTTCTTGTGTTTTTTCTTCCTGGAGTCGCTTTTGTTTTTCTTCTTCCTCCTTTCTAAGATTTTCTTTCCATAAGTTTTCTTTTCCTTGCTTTGCTTTCCTTTACATAAAAGAAAAAGAGTTTGTATAATGTCCTAGAAATTTTTTACACTAAATAAAAACATACTAAGATCTGGTTCCTGTCAAGGTGAAGAACTAGCAATGAAGTATTAGTACAGGGGTGGGGAGAAACTGCTGAGATCAGAGGTGAAAGGAAAACAAATCAATCAATCAATCAAGAAAAGCTTTGGAAGCTTTGGATTGATTAGTGGATGCACTGGGGTGTATGACTGACAATTTCCCACACCCAAAAATTCCCTCCTGCTAACCAACCTCCAAACTCAAGAAAAAAAGAAAAAGGTTGAAATGGAACCATTCAGCAAATAAATCTAAAAATTACATCTAAGTTTCCTTCCTTTCTCTCCAGATATTTGACAAGAACTGTCTTCCAGCTGTTATTCCCACTGTCCTATCTAATCTTTGTTTCAGGGGTTTAGTCATTGTTGCTGTGGAAATAGGAAATGCTTCTAGAAAAACAACCTACTTTTTTTTTTTTTTTTTTTTTTAAAGAGAGAGGGTCTTACTCTATGGCCCAGGCTAGAGTACAGTGGTTCAATCACAGGTCACTGCAGCCTGGATCTCCTGGGCTCAAGTGATCCTCCTGCCTCAGCCTCCAAAGTAGCTAGCACTACAGGCACATGCCACTATACCTAGCCAACTTTTTAATTTCTTTTTTATAAAGACAGGGTCTTGCTATGTTGCCCAGTCTGGTCTGGAACTCCTGGCCTCAAGTAATCTTCCCTCCTTGGCCTCCAAAGTGCTGAGATTACGGGCATGAGCCACTGCGCCCAGTCTACTTTTTATATTATTACTTCAAAAAGTCTTTTTTGTTTGCTTAGATAATAGAGCATTTCTCCTCTCTAGGTCCACGTGCTTTGGTAAACATTTCAATGAAATCTAACACAGCTACAGTTTGGTTTCCAGCCAGTCAAGGTGATCTGTGATCAATTATTTTAGTATTAGAACTCATGCATCTTATAGTTCTCCTTTGCATGTATTTTCACAACCTTACTCAGAGGTAGAGCTGCCACCACTTAAATTTAGCACCTTCTCCAAGCCTCAGCACTATCAGGGCAGTGAAGATTACAGCTGGAAACATTCCTGAGATTTGTCAGCATATATACCCTTCCAAAGTGGGAACCTTGGCATAATTCCACATCTCTATTCCTTAATTCCTGAAGGAATCTCGAAATCCTGGATAATTCAAAATATTGTAGGCCCTTAGTCATCAATGCTTTCTCCTTATCTCTCAACTGTTTCAGACTTCATACTGCTGGTTCACTAGCCCATTTACTAGATTCCTTCCAACAATTTCCAAACCTCCTTCATCCTCTATCATGTCATAGAATGCTTCCTCCGGCAACTTTCAAAACGGACTTCTGGTTCTCCTGTGAGGAAAATGCTTCTCTTGCAGTCCTCACTTAATTTCAACTAATATCCCCTTTCTCAGTTCCTCTGTAACTTTCCGGGACACTTTTCCAAGCCTAGTAATTAATACCCAATTAGCTTTCATTTGAATTTTTATAGCATTATAAATATCACTATCAGAGTACTTAGCACATATTTAGCACAACAAAAAAACCAGAGGGCTCATTAAATTAAAATTTTCTATATATTTTTTAAGCTCTTCATTCTTTCCATCAACTCCTCCTGCCAGGTAATCATGGCCACATAAGTATGAGACTAGGACAACCTGGATAAGGCTCCTTGTTTAATTTAAGGAAAGGATGTCAGGCCCCTCTACTCTAGGCTTACTGAGGGGTGGTACTTGGCTGAGCTCAACCTGCAGGAAATCATGCCAGAATTCTGGTAAACTTTATGTAAGAGTTAGTAGTTGAGAAACCGGTCCAGTGCCACAGGATGCCTCAGAAGCTGGGCAAAGGGCAAAGAGGCCACAACTAAAATGTGAAAACCTATTACCAATACCTTGGGGAAAAGAAGGGAATATACCTGGGCAAATGGCCAATCAATCCAAGATGTGGTACTAAGACCCAGCTTCAGACTGAGTAGGTCCTATATGCACTTCCGCTCTCTTTGATTTCTCTTCTCTACTACCTAATGTGCAAGGATGATGAATGAAATTAAACGCATATAACTAGTATAATCTTTTGGCCTGAAAGGAATTGTGAACACGATGAAGAAAGATTAAGGTAACTGCATATGTCAATAGAAAGTTCTGACATAAGGATTAGCTGTGGAACCACTGCACAGCTCCCTTATGTAATTAAGTGGTACAAGTTAAGCAGTAAATAAGAGCTGTAAGAGCTACTTCGTTTGAACTTTACTTTCTCTACTTCTATATTATTCTATTATCTCGTTAGGAGGCCACAAAAACAGGGGTCTAGATCACCAGGCGCAGTGGCTCATGCCTATAATCCCAGCACTTTAGAAGGCCAAGGTGGGCAGATCGCTTGAGCCCAGGAGTTTGAGACCGGCCTGAGCAACACAGAGAGGCCTCATCCCTATTAAAATTCAAAAAAAATTAGCAGGGAGTGGTGGTACATGCCTATATTCCCAGTTACTCAGTGGGAGCTTAGGCAGGAGGATTGCTTGAGCCCGGGAGGTCGAGGCTGCAGTGATCCCTGATCATACCACTGCAATCCAGCCTCGGTGGCAGAGCAAGGACCCTGTCTCAAAATAAAGAAATGGGGGTCTAGGAGTAAACAATATTATAGTTATTCGTTTAACTGTCTGAATCTCCTATTAGAATTATGAGGAGTAATCCAAAGTCTACCAGCATCACAGCCAACAATAGCCACTCAAAAAAATGTGTTGGAGGTGGCTACTTTGAAACCATTAAGAATAGAGGCCTGCCAAATGGTAATGTGTCTTCCTTGCCTCCCTAGTAACTATTAGCTTTTTCATAGAAATTACTCATCTACTCTTTACCAAGGCAAAAAAATACTGGTTCATCCATATTTGTTAACTAATTATACTACTTTCTGATACTAGAAAACTTGGAAGAAAGAGAAGAATGTATTAGAAAAAGAATCTCAATGGCAGAAAAATACCATGCAAAGTTTCTAAATGAATAATTCTAGGCTTCAGATACCACAAATGTCTTACTTCTCCTTACTATAAATGGAGGCAATTAATATATCTCAAGTGATAAAAAGAGAAATGCATCAATGTGGCATTCTACATTCAGTATTACTATATACAATTAAGTATTCTGCTTTTATGATCTTTCAGGAAACTAATAGATTTACCAAGGAAAGATGGAATGAATGAGTGTTTACTATGTGCAACAAATTATACTTGGCTCTTTAGCTACATTATTTTATTTTTTAACTTAAGAGACAAGGTCTTGCTATGTTGCCCAGGCTGGCCTTGAACTCCTGGGCTCAACTCATCATCCTGCCTCAGCCTCCCAAATAGCTTGGGACTACAGGCGTGTGTCACCACGCCCAGTTCCAGCTGTATTATTTTATTTAATACATTTACCTATGAGATATGCATTATTGTCTCTATTTTCAGATGGAGTAACTGAGGTTCAGAAAGATAAAAATAACTTAACCAAGGTCACCCAGGTAGTAAGTGGAAGAGCAAGAATTCTAATACAGGTTTGACTCCAAAGTCTGTTATTTTTCACTAGTAGAAAATAAAATCAGTTACTGCAAACTTGATCCCTAAAAGGACTGAACTTATGAGATCCAGAATCTGATTAGGATAATCCCTTTATTTTCCTTAAATTTTCATAAACTAAAGATATGAGCAACAAAATTACAATTCTAATGGCAATATAGCACAATAAATATATCAGCTATATTACCTTGCAGCCTCATCTTCTAGTTTCTTTTTCTGCATTAGTTCTAATCTTTTCCTTTCAATTTCCTTCAACTTGTCACGTTTGATCTTATAAAGCTGTTCAAGGGCTAACTGCTGTGTGTTGTAGGTTTCTCTCAGTTCCTAAGGAGAAAAAGAAAATAAGTCAATACGTGAATGATTTAAATATGCTTGTCATATGTATTAATGTGGCATTTGCATTAAAAGATAAAAATCCTATAGCAAGTTGAACTAAATTTAAAATATTTAAAGTTTTAAAAAATATCTAGATGATAAAAAAAACCTTAAGTATTTAAACCATATAGCTCCTGAGATAAACACATTAAAATAATCTACTTTTCCATCAGTTCATTTCTACGGAACACAGAATCTTTAACAAGCCGATGCTTTGATTTGGTACATCATTTTCAATTAAAAAAAGCAATCCATTAAAAATATGGGGGAATAATTTGCTTGTTATAACATCTGAAGAGAAATTTTGTTCAGTCATGTTTTTGACATATGTAATTTAACCAAGTTATTTTTATCCAATATCATCTTGAACTAAACACAGAATTATTAAATAATTTAGTTCAAAACTAAAAATGGAAAAGATGTCTGCCTAAAATCATGACCACCATGAGCCAAAATAATGAAAAGCATTCCAAACAGGAGTTGAAATAAACAACTGCTTATTGAACATCTAGTTGTATGCTAAGTGCTATAAAGCGTTCCAAGAGGATCCAATACAAGGCTGACTCCCACGTCTACAGACTTTGTCTTTAAAGAGTTCACAATCTCAATGTAGAGGCAAGTGTCAACATGCAGGGCAGAGGTAAATTCCTTAGCAGGAACTTGTGATTATCTGTTCAGCATTTTCTCTTCCTCTTCTTCAACAGCACCCTGCCTTCCTCTAGGAAACTGATCTTTCCACCTTCCTCCCAACATCTTACGTGGTTTTAAAAGGTCTGCCAAACTCAGAGCTCCTCCCATTCCCATCAGGCACAATTGTTTACTCCTGACCTAAACAATCACAGCACCTTACTTCCCTGCTCAGAAACGACTGGTCCAAAGGACATAAGCATAATCCAAGCTGGCCCAGAATATTTTCCTGGGATTCACATATGTTGAAGTGGGGAGAAAGAAACCTTTCTGCAGCTCATTAAACTGGGATAAAGTAAACCTGGAGCTGCCTCACAACCAAATAAGACCTGGGGATAGGAATAAAATCAACTCAGAAAAAAGAGAAGTACAGATTAGAGACTGAGCTGGAGAGAAAGGGTACTATAGAAGCTGAATGTTCAATATCATGGCTCGGAGACCTAGGAACTGCCCCTGTCCAGCAGCCCTTCCATGGATTCAGTTAGTGGTCCTAGGATGCTTCTAATAATCACTCATTAGCTTAACTATTTTGAACTAGATTTCTTTCATTTGGAATCTACAGAATCCTGAACGAGAGAGTAGAAAAAGGAGGCTGGAGGAAAGAAGTGGGGGCGGGGGGACTTAAGAGTAATCAAAAGAAACTTCATGGCAAAGGTGAGAGCTGGACAATATTTGGGTAGAATGTTTTGGTAAAAAATGTTTTTTGGTATCAACCTATACACAATAACACAACTCCAAACTCCATTTCTTTTCAGAGATAACTATTTTATAAGTGAACCTTTTACTTGATTGAAATAGTAGATTTGATCTAAGTACAGCATGCTGTCCAGAGACTATGTCCAACATGTCTGAGCAAAACATTTACAACTTAAGCCAATAGTAATGCATACTGCTTTTATAGCAGAATTTCCACAGCTCTCAGCTTCTAGGGTTTTATTTGTTGTACCTTTCTCTAAATTCTATTGAAAAGCAGAAGAATATAGTGGTTACAATATATAGAGAAGCAAGGTGGTTTAGTGATGAGGAGCATGGGTCTGGAATAAGACTAACAAGGCTTGACTCAGGCTCTGTATACTAGCTGTATAACCTTAGGAAAGTTATTTTATAGTTTCCTCATCAGTAAAATGAGGTTAATTATGGTACAAGGGTGTCCAATCTTTTAGCTTCCCTGGGCCACATGGAAAGAGGGAAAATTGTCTTGTGCCACATGTAAAATACACTAACAATAGCTGATGAGCTAAAAATAAATACATAAATAAATAAAATTGCAAAAACAAATCTCATAATGTTTTAAGAAAGTTTACAAATTTGTGTAGGGCTGCATTCAAAGCTGTCCTGGGCCGCATGTGGCCTGTGGACCACGGGTTGGGGAAGCCTGTTATGATACGTGCCTCACAGAGTTGTTGTGAGGATAAAATGAGTTAATACATATAAAGTGCTTATTATAGTGCAGAGCACCTAGGTTCTCAGTAAATCTTAGTTATTATTATTGGATGAAGTCAAAAATGAGGAGAGTACTCAGTCTAAAAGGAGAGTAAAAAGGAGCCAAATTAATGTCTGATCTCAACAAGGCTGCAGGCTTAGCCCTCCAACTTGTCCTTTAAAATAGAGCTCTAAGTATTCCTTTACTAACCCTATTCCCTGCAGTGTCAGAGTTAATGAGCTTCCTTGTGCCATTCTGTATATTCCTCTATCATAGTGTCTTCTCTTCCAACTATATGATTGCCTCCTCCACTGAAGTGAGTTTCTTGACAAGACTGTCTTTCATCAAGGTGTCTCCAGCCAACAGAGAGTCTAGTACAACATGGATATTTAATAAATATTTATTGGACAAATGAAAAATGCATAAACAATAGTCTATGCAAATTAGTAAGATTTAAAGAGCACCACAAAGCTTGCCAAGTATTTCCTCTATTTGACTATGGTGATGTAAAAATTCCTATCCTTAGACCTATTCCTCTGGGTTAAGTCACTACTTCCAGGAGGTCCTTGCTACACATAATAGTTAAGCAAGAAAAAAATAAACCAATCAGAATTCATTAAGAGTTGTTCTCAATCTTTTTTTTTTTTTTTTTTTTTTTTGAGATGGAGCCTCGCTCTGTCGCCCAGGCTGGAGTGCAGTGGCGCGATCTCAGCTCACTGCAACCTCCGCCTCCCGGGTTCAAGCAATTCTCCTGCCTCAGCCTCTTGAGTAGCTGGGATTACAGGCTCATGCCACCACGCCCGGCTAATTTTTGCATTTTTAGTAGAGACGGGGTTTTACCATGTTGGCCAGGCTGGTCGTGAATTGTTGAGCTCAGGCAATCCACCTGCCTCGGCCTCCCAAAGGGCTGGGATTGCAGGTGTGAGCCACTGCACCCAGCCAAGTTGTTCTCAATCTTAACAGAATGATAGATTATCTCTTTTACGTTAAGGAACTTCTATTACTAGTTTGCTAATAAGTTTTACTTTTAAAATCATAAATGGATATTAAATTTTATCAAAAACCTTTCCTGTATCTAATGAGATGAGCATAATCTTTTTCTCCTTTAGTCTGTTTATATAGTAAATTACATTAAACTTTTCTGTATGTTAAATCATCTTTGTATGGCTGAGGTAAATCCAACTTGGTCATGGCAGGTTATGCCACCTGCAGGGGTATTACTAACGTAGATTACTCCAGATCCTTGGAAGCATAGGGTTAAGACCTAACTCCTTGAAGGAAACCACAATTCTACCATTAACAGATTCTACTTTCCCTCTATGGACAAGCATTTCCCCAATCATTATCTCAAGTCAACACTGGTTGACTTTCCAAAATACTAAAGATATTTTGGAGATTCTGACAACCCCTTTCTTAAGAAGAGTGAGGGAAAGTAATTTTGTTTTTTCACAAATAACAAAAATATTTGTATATTCGTATATAAGAGTTTACAAAGCATTTCCATCTATATGCGATCTCATTTAATCACAAGACTTTGCAAAGAAGACAGGCAGATAATGTCAGCATGTTTTGTAAAGGAAGAAAGCAAATTTGGAGGGTAAATGACAGATCGTTACACAACTGGCAAGTGGCATGGATAAGACTAGAGTTCACTTTTTTAGATTCCTAGGCCAGGAGTTTTCGTTGCACTTCACTGCTAAAGATGTGTGAATTTTCTTTTTTTTTTTTTTTTTTTTTTTTGAGACGGAGTCTCGCTCTGTTGCTCAGGCTGGAGTGCAGTGGCCCAATCTCACCTCACTACAACCTCCGCCTCCCGGGTTCAGGTGATTCACCTGCCTCAGCCTCCCAAGTAGCTGGGACTATAGGCGTCTGCCACCATGCCCGGCTAATTTTTTGTATTTTTAGTAGAGATGAGGTTTCACTATGTTGGCCAGGCTGGTCTCGAACTCCTGATCTCATGATCCACCCGCCTCAGCCTCCCAAAGTGCTGGGATTACAGGCGTGAGCCACAGTACCTGGCCAGATGTGTGAATTTTCTTAATGGTATAATGGCCTGTCAAATGTCTCACTTTTGAATCCACTGGCTTTGTCTTAGTATAACTTGACCAAAAGAGTAAAAATCATTAATTCTGTACATGCATATTGCAGGTTCCAGTAAAACATAACATTCTAAATTAAATAATTGAAATATTTTACTTCTGTTGTCACTACAAGTAGCCTAAAGGAGTGGTGGTTAACCCCGGTGCTCTACTATCACAAAGGACCACAGCATCAGAACTAAGTGCCTGTCCTGCTCCAACACTACCAGGACCAGTTCCATCTCACCTACTGATAAGACACAGCCTTTCTTCTCATTCCTTATCACCTGAATTCTTATCTCTACAGTGCTGTTTATCCCTTAATCTGACCCAATCCCCTACTCATTCTCTCCTCAAACCTCTCCACTCTCCTGGAACTTCCTCTATGTGATCAGGAAACTATCATACAGCTACCAATCTTCTCTGAACGAAAATTCTCTTCCCTCGTCACTTTCTTGGCTGATCCCTCCGGATACTACTTTTCTGCTAGTCCTCTCTCAGTTTATTATCATATACTCCATTTACATCAGGGTCAGAGGATAACTACAGTATTTTCCTTGCTCTTCACTGCCACTTTCAGATGGTTATTTCCCCCTCACTCTTAGCAACTCCATGCTTTTCTGGGGCTCCTACCATCCAGCAATACCATTCTCTCCTTCCTTTTTATTGTTATCTATTAGTCACCTGGTCATTCACTCACCTCACTATTCTCTAAGTCTTTGACATCCACATAAATGATGCAATCCAAACCTCAAGTCTCAGGCTGATCTCTTCATCAATGACCTTTTTAACTCTACTTAATCCATCACTCCCATTATTACACCCTGAGTCTTACTAATCAGAAACAGAACTACCATTGACCAAATATCCCATTCTTCAAACGTAAGTTCTTACCCTTCGAACTTTTCTTATACCTGGTACATCTATATCAATAGGGTTTGTTTGTTTGTTTTTTCTGAGACAGAGTTTTGCTCTTGTTGCCCTGGTTGGAGTGCAGTGGTGTAACCTTGCCTCACTGCAACCTCCACCTCCCAGATTCAAGCAATTCTCCTGCCTCAGCCTCCCGAGTAGCTGGGATTAAAGGCGCGTGCCACCACACCCAGCTAATTTTTTGTATTTTTAGTAGAGACGGGGTTTCATCATGTTGGCCAGGCTGGTCTCAAACTACTGACCTCAGGTGATCAACCCGCCTCAGCCTCCCAAAGTGCAGGGATTATAGGCGTGAGACACCACGCCCAGCCATCAATAGGTTTTCAACCTCACTGAGACCATTCTGTTGACTCCCATCATTCTCTTTCTTTATTAACACCCCTTCCTCTCTTCACATCCTTCATGTCTAGTTCATGTTTCAGAGCTCATCTTGATCATAGTGCTTTTGTCAAGATCTGTAACTCTTCTGTCCCTCTCTCTTTGTGCATGTCTATTAAAACCTCAAACCTGTATGAACCATGAACCTATTTCATCAGCTTTCTCTGTGCTTATACCTAAACAGCTGAACATTGGTGAGGCAAAATCACACAATTAGGCATACTGTTTTCAATTTAAATACATCACCTCCAACTTCAAAAAGACATTCAACATTGCTCAGCACACTTAGGTTTTCCTCTACTAAGCTTGCATATCTGCACTGAGATGTCTATTTCATGCCTATTTCTCTCCTGAAACTTCCTAATCTTCCATCCATTCTCCTCACTACCAGCTATAAACCTTGCCTCATTAGGCCATCAGACTGCAGCCCTCTCAACTTTCCATCTCAAAAAACCAATAGCACTTTCTGCATCTCCACCCCTCTTCTTCTGGCCTAGGCTGAGTTATATCATGTCCTCCTCTACCCAGGAAGATTCTTTCTGATGGTCCAACTTACCTCTGATTTTAAGTCTTGAAGCTGTCGATATGGGAGTGGGCCAGGGAAGTACTGGGTAGAGAAAGGCGGGTCCCTGGCTAGGGCTTCAGCCTCGGGCCTATGCCCATGAACCTAGGTGAGGACAGGCACTCCTGCCTTTGCACCCAAATGTTGCATCTTCCAAGACCACCCTGGCCTGCCACGCCACCATCCTGTGCCTACAAAAACCCGAGATCCTAAAAAGGCAGAGGCATAAGTGGCTGGACGTCATGAGGACCACATCGGCAGAAGACGACACAAGCAGCTGGTCATCAAGAGCACGCCGGTGGAAGAGCATGTCAACAGGCACCAGCAGGCCAGCAGGCCACTGACCAGAGGAACAATGCGGAGTTTGGCCAGAGCAGTGAGAAATCAGGTTGCGGCCCGACTCCAGGGTAAAACCGTCTCCCTTCTGGCTCCCCCATCTGCTGAGAGCTACTTCTACTCAATAAAACCTTGCATTCATTCTCCAAGCCCACGTGTGATCCAATTCTTCCAGTACACCAAGGCAAGAAACCCTGGGATACAGAAATCCCTCTGTTCTGTCCTTGTGATAAGGAAGGGGGTCTAACTGAGCTGGGTAACACGAACCGCCTATAGACGGCAAACTAAAAGAGCACTCTGTAACACACCCCCACTGGGGCTTCAGCTGTAAACATTCACCCCTAGACACTGCCGTGGGGTCAGAGCCCCACAGCCTGCCCATCTGTATGCTCCCCTAGAGGTTTGAGCAGGGGAGCACTGAAGAAGTGAGCCACATCCCCATCACCTGCCCTTCAAGGGGGACAAGGGAACCTTTCCCGTTTTACTGTCAACTTCCTACTCTCTACCAACAAATTTAACTGCATTCATAACCATCTTCTCCCCGTATGTTACACTGAAAGTATTCTTTTTATCTAATCCTTTAATCTGTGCTCTCCATTCCATCTTAATCTGCTTCTTCAGGGACTTTGCTCCATCAATTACCACAATCTCAATCTTTCTCTCTTTCCCCCTGCCTCCTCCTTTCTTTTCTCTTTACTATTTCCTTCAAGTCTTTCTTAAACCAAAAAAAAAAAAAAAAAAGATTTTCCTTTGACCCCCATGCTTTTTTCTTTTCATTCTAAGAGTTGTTGCTACTCACTTAACCCTTCCTCAACTCTTACTCATTCCTGATCCACTGCAATCCAGCTTCTGCTTATCACTCAAGTGAAATGGCACTTTTAGCAAGGTCTTCAAAAGTTTTCTTTTTGACAAATTCAATGGATATTTTTCTTTTTCTTTTTTTTTTTGAGACAGAGTTTTGCTCTTGTTGACCAGGCTGGAGTGCAATGGTGCGACCTCGGCTCACTGCAACCTCCGCCTCCCGGGTTCAAGCGATTCTCCCGTCTCAGCTTCCTGAGTAGCTGGGATTACAGGCATCCGCCACTATGCCTAGATAATTTTTTGTATTTTTAGTAGAGACGGGGTTTCACCATGTTGGCCACGCTGGTCTCAAACTCCTGACCTCAGGTGATCCGCCCGCCTCGGCCTCCCAAAGTGTTGGGATTACAGGCGTGAGCCACTGCGCCTGGCCAATATTTTTTAGCACTATGTTAACTAATAACTCTGTATCATTTTCTAGTAACTACAGAAGACCTCTTTTCTTGCTTTCTGTGACAACACAGTCTCCTGACTGCTCTGACAGTATAGATTTCATATCTCTTTAGTTTCCTAAATTGCTCTGATGAAAGTATCAATAAGCAGTGTAAGTCTGGAAGGCAGGAAGCAGAAGGAACAAAGTAAAACAAGGGACAAGAATAACTGCTGGCCTGTGGAGAATCAAATGCTAACTCAAAGAATCAGACTCTGTGAGGGAGAACAGTCCACAAATCATCATTAAACTTCACTTTACAGATGAGGAAACTTAGTTTAGTTTCTATGCAATCCGTAGCAAAAGTTCTAAAAACCATATAATCTGGCCATTCATGCCATAACCATAAAGGCTAAAATATGGGTCCCCTGCTGCTACCATCTTTCCAATTTGCCCTACTTCGCTCAGGTAACAAATGAACTCTACTTATCATGTTTCTGTCTTCACTGTGGAATATATATGCATATAGGCAACTGCCCTATTGCTATCCATTTTAGTACTGAGTAAAATGTGTAGTCAAAATCTACTAGAGTCAGCAAGCAGTAAACATAAAGCACATTTCTTTAAGCTCTATTAAAATATTTTTAATAATCTACGTTATACATGGCAAAGAGAAATATTTATATAATTTAAACATTTTTATCTGATGTGCAAGCATGTCTAAATATGAGCCTGGTAACTAGACCTGACTAAAGTTGCCCCTGCATTATTGGTTCTTTAAAATTGTCCTTACAACAGTATTAGGAAGCAGCTTGGTGCATATATGACATAAACTTGCCCTAGATTTCATAAAGTATTAAGTTTTATTTTAAACACTGATTTTCAGTGATATGGGTAAGTGATTTAATCTCACATTTTCCTTTGAATTGAGTTAGTAATCATCTTTATCAGTTAACCCACTCCCAGGGATGTTGTAAAGGAACCAGGTTATATTTCTAAGTGTCCTGGACTTCTTTTGAGAAAGGTTACTGTGACAGGCAACCTTACTGACTTCTGGCATTAGACTCAAACAGGCAGTCAGATAGCAGAAGGATATTCAAGCAAGCAGAAAGAAAAAGGCTTATATTGTATATGTTATTTCAAACAAAGATACTCAGATAAAGGCAAAGAATAGTCTAGTTTTAAAAAAATAAAACAGCAAAGTAACTCAAAGAAAAGAAGCTAGATATTAGAAAATAACCTTAAGTAAGAGGAAGAGGTTGTTGAGACAGCTTAGCAGAGACAAAAGGCACTGAAGAACAGAGTCATCCATATTCCCACACTGTAAGATAAGGCAGATAAAAAGCCAATTAAACTACGTACAGAATTTTTTTTTTTTTTTTTTTTTTTTTTTGAGATGGAGTCTCACTCTGTCGCCAGGCTGGACTGCAGTGGCGCAATCTCAGCTCACTGCAACCTCCACCTCCCGGGTTCAAGCGATTCTCCTGCCTCAGCCTCCCGAGTAGCTGGGACTACAGGCGCATGCCACTACGCCCAGCTAATTTTTGTATTTTTAGTAGAGATGGGGTTTCACCATGTTGCCCAGGCTGGTCTCGATCTCTTGACCTCGTGATCCGCCCGCCTCAGCCTCTCAAAGTGCTGGGATTACAGGCATGAGCCACCATGCCCAGTTATGTAGATTTTTTAAAGAAATAATATAGGGAAGATAAGTTGGCTGGCTTGTCTAACCAGCAATGACAAATGATTTGGTTTTCTATAAAATTTTTTTCTACTGAACATATGCTTGTGTAAAGTGTATTATTAACATTGTTCACCTCAAATTCCCTTTCCTTACCTGAAGCCACCATGTTGTCCTTTCTTTAGCATGCTGTTTACTCTATATTTGCTGTTAATGTTATTCTAAATAAGTCAGCATGATAAAAGCCATATGAAGAGAGAGATTTCTTATACAAAAGCTTTATGAAAAGCTTTATTTCTTACAGAGAATAGCTTATGCTCTGGAAACTTTATATTGTTAGCAAAGGAATAACTGAGACTATTCCCAAATTTACATTCTATGCCATGAGCCTGGGTTTTTAGTTTCTTTCATAGGTATGGCTTCAGTGTACAATGAATACTGTGGTGAATGATATGCAGACAGTCTATGTTTTGGACATCTGCTCTGCCACTGCGGCAAACAATGAATCATTAACTTGCTTTTTGTGCAAAGTTTATAGTGCCAGATTCTGTTCTAGATTTCACTGATTATTGCATTATTTAACAAAGGTTAATTAAATTACACTTCACAAGGAAACAAAATAAAAACTGTGTTAAAAGAGCCACTAACACCTAAACTATTTCAAATTTTCCATATTTCTCATTTTTGAAAATTGCCTAGGATAACGCTGGCTGAGATCAGTTCTGTAATACTGACAAAGGCAATTGTTCTGGAAATGTATAGATGCCAAGACAAACAGCACATAGTCATCAAAAATTGGAAACTGTGATAAAGTATATGTTTAGTTATATGACACTATGTCATATAACTAGAACATTAAAAACAATCTTGAAATTCTTGTATAGTTGAAATTATAAAATAAATTATGAAAATGTAATACATATAATAGCTTTAGCTATTTATTCTATTAAATCAAAATAATGAAGGTAAGAAGGCAGTTACCTAAAAATAAATAGTATCAAAAATAAATACCTTTAGTTGATTGTTAAAAGAATCCATTTCTGACAGCTTAGATGCAGTTTCTTTTTCAAGAGCATCTAACTGTTCTTTAAGTCTTTGGCATAATTCTTCCTTTTCTAATGATTTTTTATGAAGTAAACTGACCCCTGAATCTGAAAAACAAACATCAGACAGTTTACATTTTGCAGAAGTTCGTATGTCATTACCAGCATGTCATTTACTGTTTGGTCAGATTGATGTAACTAGACCAATACGAAGGATGTATACACAATGCAGACCAGTACAAGAGAAAACATTCAGTTGTTATTTCCACTTCCCAGATTATATGCTGGAAAGAGCATCAGAGGAAATGGTTGTAAGCCTTGGTTCTGCATTCAAAAGGACTAGGACCTGAAGTGAAATTCTACTTTAGGAAAGATGCTTCACCAATCGAATCCTCAGGCTTTTCATCTATACAATGAGCATCATGCTACATTAAATGAGGTGATGGATATAAAGCCATTGTACACTCTGGTCCACAGTTAATACTCAATTAATAGAAACTATAGTTAAAGTAGCTTTCCATTTATTCTTAGTGCTCCCAAGAACAGGGAAATATTCACAGCAAAGATTCAGTAAGTATTACTAACTGGATTATTTAGTAACATTATTTTAGGAGGTAAGAACAGAAGGTTTCATTTTATATTATCTTTTTTTACATATTCATGCAGGGATGAAGAAACCAGATGGAAATATATAATGCAGAATACATTACAATAAATTAAAATAGCAATATTATCTGTTTAAATGTCTGTTTTTAACTTTATCATATTTTTGAAGTACAGAAGTACAAAATTTAAATAAAATGAAACATACAGAGTAAAAAATTAAAACACCTCCATTTCAACTGCAAGTTCATCCCCCTTTTAGGCATTTACATTTAGATGTGTACATACTCAACTTTTATTTCCATGGGTTTTAACAGAATCATATTGTCTACATTGCTATGCAACTTGTTTTCAATTTAGTAAGATATCTTATCAATCAGGACAAACAGATCTAGTTCATTCTTTTAAATTGCTCCATAGTAGTTTACATTATGGCTACTGCATAATTTATATAACTACCTTTCTGACTGGTATGGGTAGATGTTGGTCTGAACCCACTGATCAACATCTACCCATTTTCCCCTCCCTCTAACCCCTGGTAACCACTCTTCTACTCTCAGTTTCTGTACAGGAGTTCAACTTTTTTAGATTTTATATGAAACTGAGGTCATGCAGTATTTGTCTTTCTGTAACTGACTTACTGCATTTAGCATAAGGGAGCGCAAATATCTCTTTGAGACAGTAATTTTGTTTCCTTTGAATATATATTCAGAAGTGAGATTGCTGGATCATACAAGAGTTCTATCTTATTTTTTTTAGAAACCTTCATACTGTTTTCCTTAACAACTATACCAATTTACATTCCTCCAACAGTGTACATGGGTTCCCTTGTTCCCACATGCTCACTACCACTCGTTATCTCTGATCTTTTTGATAACAGCCATCCTACCAGGTGTGAGGTGATATTATATTTCAATGTGGTTTAGATTTGCATTTCCCTGATGATTAATAATGTTGAGTCCCTTTTTAAATATCTCTTTACCATTTTTAGGTCTTCTTTGGAGAAATGTCCACTCAGGTCCTTTGCCCATTTTGAAATTGGGTTGTTTTTTGGTATTGAGTTATATATATTCCTTGTATTTTGGATATAAACCACTTATCAGATACATGGCTCACAAGTATTTTCTCCCATTCCACAGACTGCCTTTTCATCTTGATTGTTTCCTTTACTGTGCAGAAACTTTTTAGTTTGATGAAGTCCCACTTGTTTATTTTTGTTTCCTGAGCTTTTGGTGTAATATCCAAAAAATCACTGCCAAGGCCAATGTCAAAGAGCTTTTGTCAATGTTTTCTTCTAGGAGTTTTACGGTTTCATGTCTTATGTTTAATCCATTTTGAGCTGATTTTTGAGTATGGTATAAGGCTCCAATTTCATTCTTTTGCAGGTGGATATCCAGTTTTCCCAATACCATTTATCGAAGAGGCTACCTTTTCCCATTGTGTCTTCTTGATACCCTTGTCAAAAATTAGTTGACCATATACACTTGGGTTTATTTTTGGGCTCTCTATTCTATTTCATAAGTCTGTATGTCTTGTAATTGACAAAAAATTGTATATATATTGTATGCATGTTGTTTTAAAATATGTATACATTGTAAATTGGCTAAGGAGCTAATTAACATATGCATAATTTAGCTAATTAACATAATGTGTATGTTAATTAGCTAGGCTCTCTATTCTGTAAATCTATGTCTTTTGTAATCAACAAATAAAAACTTGTATTTATAGTACGCATGTTGTTTTGAAATATGTATACATTGTAAAATGGCTAAATTCAGCTAATTAACCTCACATACTTACCTCACATACTTACCATTTTTGTGGTGAAAACACTTAAAATCTATTCTCTTAGCAACTTTAAAGAATACAATGCACTATTATTAACTATAGTCACCAGGTTGTACAATAGATTTCTTGAACTTATTCCTCCTATCTAACTGAAATGTTGATTTCCTTTGAGCAAACTCTCAGTGATCCCCTTTTCTCTCACCAGCCCTGGTAGCCACCATTTTATTCTCTACTTTTATGGATAAATATATACACTCCACAAATAAATGAAATCATACCGTATTTGTCTTTCTGCGCTTGGCTTACTTCACTTAATGTAACATCTTGCAGGTTCATGTTGTCCCTATGTCTGTTTTTATGCCAGTACCACACTGTTCTGATTACTATAGCTTCATAATATTTGCAAACAGGCAGTGTGATGCTTCCAACTTTGTTTTTCTTTCTCAAGATTGCTTTGGCTATTTGAAGTCTTCTGTGATTCCATATACGTTTTAAAATTGCTTTTTCTATTTCTGTGAAAATGCTATTTGAATTCTGATATTGTGTTGAATCTGTATATTGCTTTGGGTAGTACAGATAATTTTTAAAATATTAATTCTTCCAATACATGAACATGGAGTATCTTTCCATTTATTTATGTCTTTTTCAATTTCTCCCATCAATTAGTTTTCAGTTACAGATCTTTCCCCTCCTTGGTCAAATTTATTCCTAAGTATTTAATTATTTTTGATGCTGTCATGAATAATATTGTTTACTTGATCTCTTTTTTGAATAGTTATTGGTGTAAAAAATGCAACTGATTTTTGTATGCTGATTTTGTGTCCTACAACTTTACTCAATTCATGTATTAGTTCTAAGTTTTATTGCAGTCTTTAGGGTTTTCAACATATAGGATCATGTCATCTGCAGACAGGGATAATTTTACTACTACTTTTACAATTTGAATGTATTTTATTCCTTTTTCTTGTCTGAGTAGTCCTGCTAGTACTTCCAGCATTACGTTGAACAGAAGTGGTAAAAAGTGCGTATCCCTACCTCATACCAGATCTTAGATCAAGCTTATCCAACCTGCAGGCCATGGGCCACATGCGGCCCAGGATGGCTTTCAATGTGGCCCAACACAAATTCATAAACTTTCTTAAAACATTATGAGATTTTTTTTAGCACTCATCAGCTATCATCAGTGTTAGTGGATTTTATGTGTGGCCCAAGACAACTCTTCTTCCAATGTGACCCAGGGAAGCCATAAGATTAGACACCCCGATCTTAGATGAAAAGTCTTCAGTTTACCCCCATTGATTATGATAGCTGTGAGCTTTTCATAAATGGCCTTTATTATGTTGAAGAAAATTCCTTCTATATCTATTTTTTTTGAGAGTTTTTATCATGAAAAGATGTTAAACCTTGTCAAATACTCGTTCTGTTATTTATGGAGATGATCACGTGGCTCGTAGATTTTTGTCTTTCATTCTGTTAATGCACACTTTAAATTCTGACAGAAATTGCCAAACTACTATTCCAAAAAAGCTGTTATCAACTTATGCCACCAACAATACCTGTTTCTGCAAACCCTCATCTATATTGGATATTATCAATCTTTTTTCATTTTTGCTAATTGGCAAAAAAGAAACCTGATTGTTATTTTAATTTGTATTTTCTTGATAACCAGTGATGTCAAAGAAACATCTATTTATGTTTCTGGCCAGAGTCTTGAATTGTTAGGTCTTATCCTTTGCCGTATTTTTCTATTGGGCTGTCTTAATTTTTGATTTGTAGAAGCTCTAAATTCTTGTATTACATGTACTTCAAATTTTTTAGTGTTTATGCTGTCTTTCATTATGATGTTTTCATTTTTAATCATCAAATCTGTAAGTATTTTCTTCATGACTCTATGTATTGTTTAAAGAGACCTTCCTCATACCAAGATTATAAAATATTTTCCTGTTTTATAATAGTTTTTAAGTTGTTTTTATGTTTAGCCTCCTAATTTATCTAGAATTTATTTCTGTACATAGAGAGCGGTAAAGAGCTCCTCTGCAACTCTTTCAGATAATCCACTGTCCCTCAAATCACTTACTGAAAGCCCATCCTTTCCCCACTGATGTTAAGTGCCAACTTTATCTTATCCTACGTTGCCATACATGCATGGGCTTTCTTCTAGACTCTATTCAATTCCATTGTTCTACTTTTCTATTTCTGATCAATAACACACTATTTTAGGCACTCTAACTTTCATATCTTATGTTTCGATATCTGATAGGGTTAGTCTCCTCCCCCCTACCAAAGTTTTTCTTTTTCAAGTTTTGCCTAATCTTGTACAATTTATTTTCTAGATGAATTTGTCAGTTATCTTCCCAAGTTTCATTTTAAGAAACCCAAAAAGAACTGAATATATAAATTAGGAGAGAACTGACATAGTATTGATGTATAGTATAGTATAATATTAAGCTAGTTCATTTAGGAACATAAAATGTCTCTAATTATTCAGGAATCTTTTTTTTTTATTTTGTTTTGAGACAGAGTCTCACTCTATTACCCAGGCTGGAGTGCAGTGGCACCATCTCGGCCCACTGCAACCTCTGCCTCCCACGTTCAAGCAATTCTCATGCTTCAACCTTCCGAGTAGCTGAGACCACAGATGCGTGCCACTACCCCTACTGATTTTTGTATTTTTAGCAGTGATGGGGTTTCACCGCATTGGCCAGGCTGGTCTCAAACTCCTGGCTTCAAGTGATCTGCCCACCTCAGCACCCTAAAGTGCTGGGATTACAGGCATGAGCCACAGTGTCCAGCCTATTCAGGAATCTTTCACGTCTATTAGCGAAGTGTTATAGCTGCATATTTCTTCTTCTTCCTTTTTTTTTTTTTTTTTTTGAGACGGAGTCTCGCTCTGTCACCAGGCTGGAGGGCAGCGGTGCGATCTCAGCTCACTGCAGCCTCTGCCTCCCAGGTTCAAGTGATTCTCCTGCCTCAGCCTCCTGAGTAGCTGGGACTACAGGCGTGCGCCACCATGCCCAGCTAATTTTTGTATTTTTAGTAGAGATGGCGTATCACCATGTTGGCCAGGATGATCTCGATCTCTTGACCTCGTGATCCGCCTGCCTTGGCCTCCCAAAGTGCTAGGATTGCAGGCATGAGCCACTGCACCCGGCCCATATTTCTGCTTTATTCATAACAATGTATATTACTAATAATGCATGTTTTAATACCAAATTTGATGACATATATGAGCACTATGTTGGGTAACTGGAAAATAAGACAAAGAAACAACATGGTAGTACAGTGGGCTTTACAGTTAGACATGAATTTGAGTACTATGATTGTACCATCCTGGGTAACTACTTAATCTCTCTGAACCTCAGTTTTCCTGAGCTCACAATGGGAATAATAACTATACCAAAGGGTTATTGTAAAGATTAAAGGAAAGAATGCATCAAAACTGACTCACACAGTGCTTGGCACATGGCTGGTAATCTTAAATGGCAATTGTTATACAGAGAGGCATCTAAGGGATACAGGGTACTTTTCAAAGCCCAAACAAAAGCTTCCTATTTTGAATTGGACTATGGCTAAATAAATAAATAGGTAACAGCTGCACTGAATTACATTCCACAGAGAAAGAATAGCCCCATCACGTCCTCAATAAGACATATTCTACATTTTATTCACAATTCAAATAGGAACAATGACAACAATGATGACAATAATAAAGATATATTTCTGCCACTGTGCATATCAGGTGGGTTAGCTCACCCTGACTCTGGAATGCCTGTGTAGGGGTGAGGTGGGGGCTAATATACTTTGAACAGGAAAGAACCAAGTATAAGGAACACTGTCTGAGCAGGGACATGGATAGACCACATCAATGGAAGGCAGGAGACACAATAAAAATAGTTCACAAGAGTGAACTTCATTTCTGATATTTCTTCCACGTGAAGGGCCCTGCACTAGCCCAACAATCCCAGCTTCTTTCCTTCCTTTCACTAACTAGTGAGCTCAAGTTAAAGACCTAGGAATGTACAGCCTAGGCTCCTCCTAAGCCCTCACTCTCTAGAGACTTAACTGCCCACAGGAAACCTGCATTCTACTTTGTTCATGCATCCAGTGCTTTATAGGTGCAACTATACCACCCACAGATAAACCACACTGCCTAGAATCAGCTTCATCAATAATGAGGCAGTGATTTGGTTTCTCATTTGTCTTGCTCCTTTGCCTTATTTCTTAATTTGTTCAGAACTTGCGCAAAGAAGGGGATACTATTTATTGAACTTTGTAAACAGCCAAAACTATAATAAAGAGACCTACAATGGAATAATTGACTTGATAGAGACTCAATGAGTGACATTTTAGGATACTTTAGTCAGTTGTAACACAACATCTGCAGATTTACTTTTCTTTAAATAAACCTTGTTTCTGCTATGCTTTTATTGGTATAGTATCCAATACAGAGAATTTTTTTCAGTTTTCTCATTGGGACCTGAGCAAAAACAAAAACAGTTACTATCCCATAAATTATCCTGGAATGTTTTGTTCCACAGGTGTCAGAGGGCCAAGATGGTAAAATTCTTTGTATGAAGCACAGAGTTAGATAATATAAAGGGTCTGGGCAGAGCATACCATCCTGCTTAAGCCTATGACTGCTGCACGCTAACACCCTAGAATCCCAGGTGCGGCCCCACCATAAAGCCTCCTCCTGAACAGTTCTTTAAAATCAGTGCAGGACTTTTCAAAATGCACATGTAGTCTTGTGTTAGAGCCAAATTTATATCTTATAGTCTAACACTTTATTTGATGTTTCAATTATATACATAAAAATATCATCAAGATATGAAGTCATACCACAATCATTACTATTTTATTTTTATCTACTTTTTATCACTAAAAATGCTCTAACATCTGGGATATTTTTCACTTTATTTTGAAACTTTAAACTTACAGGCAAAAAGTGTTATTTATAACAGAATACTTTTTTTAATTTTAAAAAAGTAACAATGTGACTGATACAGTCATTCAGAAAAGGATAAAAGTAATCAGACAAACCTTAGAGACTTACCAGGTGTGTTACTGAACTGCATGTTTTTAATTCTTTCATTTAATAATTGCTTCTCAGGTACCAGATAGATAAGCTTATTCTGATATTCCTTATAAAAAGAAAAAATAGTACCTGATTACAATGTTATAATATTGTCCAAGAGTTTTTTTTGAAAACTTTAAAACAGGATTTACTCATCTTTGAAACTTATTTTAGAAATAATACATAGTTGTAAACTGCTTACAACTTATGAATCAACTAGAATGGAATTATGCCAAGAAATATTTAAGCCAAAATCAATTTTGAGTGACTGGCTGAAATTAAAAGGCAGTGAAGAAAGCCTTTGTAAATGGGGTGTGTCTAGAAGCCTACAATTTTCAGCTTACTGATGAATGACAGCAGACCTGCGCTAGATGGTATGTGTAAGCATGCCATGATACTTCAGGATGAATATGTGTATATCAAAGAGGGACTAAAAGCTGGGTGCGGTGGCTCACACCTGTAATCTCAGCACTTTGGGAGGCCAAGGCAGGTGGATCACTTGAGGTCAGGAGTTCAAGACCAGCCTGGTCAACATGGTGAAACCCCGTCTCCACGAAAAACACAAAAATTAGCCAGGCGTGGTGGTGGGTGCCTGTAATCCCAGCTACTCAGAAGGCTGAAGCAGGAGAATTGCTTGAGCCTGGGAGGCAGAAGTTGCAGTGAGCTGAGGTCATGCCACTGCACTCCAGCCTGGGTGACAGAGGGAGGAAAAAATAAAAAGGACTAAAAACTAGGAAAGCAGGTTTAAATCAGACAGAAAATATTTTTGGCTTTTGTTTATCTCTCCTGTAACAAAGCAAAAAGACTGATTAATTGCCAGTCCATGCAGTAAGAGAAATTGGGTAAGAGAACTCTAGAGATGCAGAATGCTTCCACAGCCCCATTCTGCAAATAGTAATTATTGAACCAGACCCTACTGCACAAGTAAGGAAGAGAATTACCAGGACCCCAAGGGACATATTCAAGTTCTCATCATAATTTTAAAAAGAATAACTTTAAGTCAAAATTTCCTAAAATTAGTAGCAATAACCTTATTTTAATGTATGATATGGTCTGAATGTTGGTATGTCCCCAACATTCATATGTTGGAACCTAACTCCCAATGCAGTACTATTAAGAAGTAGGGCTTTAGGAGGCTCCACACTCATGAATGAGATGACTGTCCTTATAAAGGAAGTTGAAGGGACTGCCTTACCCTTTCTGCATGTGAAGACGCAGCAAGAAGGCACTAGTTTTAAAGGAGACAGCAAGCCCTCATCGGACACTGAATCTGCTAACACCTTGATCTTGGACTTCTCAGTCTCTAGAACTATGAGTAATAAATTTCTGTTGTTTATAAATTACCCAGTCTAAGGTCGTTTGTTATAGCAAGTAATGAATTAAGAATGCATAAACATTGTTAAAGAGTTAAAACTCAAAGTGATAAATGTCCACTTACGTATATATATTAAGCAAAACTTAACCAGACGTCTAGCAGAGTTTTAGTAGGTCTATGGACTTCCTGATATTGTATACAGGATTGCGTGTATTTAGATCACAAGCCTATCAAAGACTCAAGGTTATTGACCCCCAAAACAAAACTCTATTAGAAGAACTGTTTCGTTTTGTTTTGTTTTGAGATGGAATCTCGCTCTATCATCCATGCTGGAGTACAGTGGTGCGATCTGGGTTCACTGCAACCTCTGCCTCCCGGAATCAAGCGATTCTCCTGCCTCAGCCTCCCGAGTTGCTGGGATTACAGGCATGCGCCACCATACCCAGCTAATTTTTTTGTATTTTTAGTAGAGACGGGGTTTTGCCCTGCTGACTGGGCTGGTCTCGAACTCCTGACCTCAGGGGATCCACCCGCCTCAGCCTCCCAAAGTGCTAGCATTACAGCCGTGAGCCACCGTGCCCAGCCCAGAAGAACTATTAATTGTACATGTTTAAGAACAATTTAGCAGTGAAGGACTTACCTGAAGTTCCTGTTGAAGTTGCTTGATTTCCATAATTTCCAAGTCACACTGCTTATCCAGAACTTCCAGCTCAGTCTTTTGAGTTTGCTTTTTGAGTCGGACATCCTGAAGTCTGCCTGAGATCTGCTGATGTTTGCCATTCTATAGGAAGATCATATAAATATATAGTAACATAAAATGCTAATAGAAAATGTTTCTACAAGGAGAATAATATTTTTAGTTAAATTTTAAAATCTCAGTTATCATTCATATTCATCCTGAAACAAATGCCTAAAACCAAGTGGAATGTGTTTCAGAGTTGTGTCTGTTAACTCGAGTTATTAGTGGGAAACACATCATTCTCAGAGTGCAAGAGCCCATATGTTAGTATGGGAAAGCAGAAACATAACACATTGAATTTTTTTCTGAATTCAGCATTAGACAATATTAATTAACAATATTAATATCAGAGACACTCTCAAAGAATGATGAAGAGGAATAAATGTTTGCATGTGATGCTCGGCATTACCTTCTCTGAACTTCTATTTCTACCCTAAATATGGCCATCTAATTTCCTCTAATTAAAACAGTGCCCAGGAGGAACGTTTTGGCAACAGTTCTGTTCTATACTAATATTCTTCTCCTTTTTTCCTCTTCTTCTGTGAAGAAATCAAACAAATAGCAGAGATTCTCAATGGGACCTAAGAAGAAGGGTGACATGGGGGGTTATGGGCTGAACTGTGTCCCCCAAAATTCATATGTTAAAGTCCCAAGCCCCAGTACCTCAGAATGTGACAATATTTGGAGACAGGGCCTTTAAAGAGGTGATTAAGGTTAAACAAAGTCATACAGGTGGACCCTAATCCAATCTAACTGGTGTCCTTATTAGAGGTGGAAATCTGAACACAAAAGGCACCAGAGATAAAATACACTCAGAGAAAACACCATATAAGGACACAATGAAAGATGGCCACCTGCAAGCCACCAAAAGAGGCCTCACAAGAAACTAAGCCTAACTAACCTTGGTCTTAGATCTTAGGAGCTGTGAAAAAATTAATTTCTGTTGTTTAAGCCACCTAGCCTATCGTATTTTGTTACAGCAGCCCTACCAAACTAATACAGTGGAGTGAGGGGAAATGACATCCTGGGTTAAAACTTACTGATGATGAAAAGTTTTACTGAAGACTGTTTCATATTTGAAATACATACACTGAAAGGAACATGTGTATCTCTGCTGGAGCTCACATTCTTATCCTCAACATGGGATACGTATAGGCTCTGGACCTTTCCAGACTCTGCACATTCACCTGTGTTACTGTGCTTCATGTGTTGCACCAGTTCTTGAGGGAAAAACAATCAATCTTAAGGTCTCTTCCCATTATATATAGTCAAGATGATATATATATATAAAAATAGTGCAAGAGAGTTAAAAGTTTTTTACAACTGTTTTGTAGTACTCTGGCATGATTAATACTTGTGGTATGTATGTCTATCCATTTGAAGGAATAAAATAATATATTTCTGACTAAAGATATTGTGATGATTAAAAAAATAATTTTTAATGTAATTCAAGTCATCAACCAAATAAAATGTTAGACTATGATCACACAAGATCTAAATCTGGCTCTACTACATGACTAGGTATGCATTTTTGTAAAACCCTACTATATGATCAGGGTAGGCTCATGGGATTCTAGGGTTGTGGCAGAATAGTGCCAGATCTTTTATACCTTCTCACCACACATTTCAAACAAAGTCTTTTAACAACTTGACCCTCTAACATCTGATTGGTAAAAACTGCTTAGTGGCCAGTATTAGCTAAGAACTACAATCCTGCAGAACTGGAACTGTAAGAGATCATTTAGGTCAGCAGTTTCAAATCAGTTGTCTTTTTAATAGTAGAATCTTTTTTTTTCCAAGCAAATCTTGAGTGAAACCCCAAGAAACATAAAGCACATAAATGTCAAGCTTCTCTGTTGTGAAGCGTGGGAAGAATTAGGGAGAGAAAATCACTGTTCTGCTGCCCGAGCTTCCCCTCTCCTGCCTCTGCTTAGTCCTCCTCAGACCATCTTACAGAGACCAATCTGAAAACTGAAAATCACTCAACTAACACAACTCTTTATTTCAGACAAGGGAAAAGTGAGGCACAGAGAAGGGAAATGTCTTGCCCAGGAGTACATGGTTCATCAGTGTCTGAACTGATGCTACAACATAATTCTCAGCATTTTGAGTCATTATCCTTTTCTCAGTAAACCATATTGTACAGTCTGTTTATATGAAAATGTGACTAATGACATTAAGACATAACTAATTCACGAGAGATTTTAAAACACAATTACATTTTTCTTTTTTTTTTTTTTGAGATGGCGTCTCACTCTGTTACCTAGGCTGGAGTGCAGTGGTGCGATCTTGGCTCACTGCAACCTCCACCTCCTGGGTTCAAGTGATTCTCCTGCCTCAGCCTCCCAAGTAGCTAGGATTACAGGCACCCACCACCACCCACCACGGCCAGCTAATTTTTGTTTGTTTGTTTGAGACGGAGTCTCACTCTGTTGCCCAGGCTCGAGTGCAGTGGCGCGATCTCAGCTCACTGCAACCTCCGCCTCCCAGGTTCAAGCAATTCTTCTGCCTCAGTGTCCCAAGTAGCTGGGACTACAGGCGCACACCACCACTCCTGGCTAATTTTTGTATTTTTAGTAGAGATGGGGTTTCACTATATTGGCCAGGCTGGTCTTGAACTCCTGACCTCGTGATCCACCCACCTCAGCCTCCCAAAGCGTTGGGATTACAGTGAGCCACCATGCCCAGCCCACAGCTGGCTAATTTTTTTTTTTAGTAGAGATGGGGTTTCACCATGTTGGCCAGGCTGGTTTCAAACTCCTGCCCCAGTTGATCTGCCTGCCTTGGCCTCCCAAAGTGCTAGGATAACAGGTGTGAGCCACCACGCCTGGCCCACAATTACATTTTTCAACAGGTAGCTCCATCATCATTCAGATAAATTTCACTTAAACTTCAGCCATACCAGTGCTTCCAACTCAAGATGAAGATTCTTCTTTTTAGAGTTTAACCTGACAATTTCTTCTTGTTCTCTATTCTTTTGATTGAGAAGCTCCTGTCGCCGAATTCTCTCCCATTCTAAGCGACGTTGTCGTTCAAGTTCCTGTTTTGCTGCCTGAAAAAAAAAAGGAATTATACTTAATTTTTAAATCAAAAATTTTGCACGATTCAAAAACTGGGAAGACAACAATAAAAGTCAGGCAGAGTTTAGCACTTAGTGGCTTTAGTGCCTAAGGGTAGCTAGGCAAATCTAGTTTTATTAATGGGCTTAAAGACTTCCAAGAAAGTGGCTTCATCTATCATATTTTCTCATTTCTTCACGAGATCTTTTTTTTTTTTTTTTTTTTCCAGACAGCATCTTGCTCTGTCACCCAGGCTGGAGTGCAGTGGCACCACCTTGGCTCACTGCAACCTCCACCACCTGGGCTCAAGCGATTCTCCTGCCTCAGCCCCACCAAGTAGCTGGGATTACAGGCACACACCACCACACACCTGGCTAATTTTTGTACTTTTTGTAGAGAGAGGGTTTCACCATGTTGCCCAGGTTGGAAGACCATCCTTTTGTTACAGTCATTTTTCTCTTAATAAGTTACAGAATGACTTCATAAATATAAATGTTAACAGGAATAATTTTCCCTCTATTCTGGTATCTGGGGGAAAAATTCTATTTATATTATTTCAGTGTGCAATAACTTCCTGTGCTCCATCCCTGGCCCTTTAAAACACAGCCAGTCCTCCTAAGGACCCTTCTTTCCCAGCAACACTATCCCAAAGGCCTGTGCAAGCCCATCCTCTTGATTCCTCTCTAGAGAGACTTTCAATGCCCAGCTCTCATCTTTCTGTCTCTCCAATTCCTTGGACTCTTAATCTGGATCTTAAACTTGCTTTCGTCTAATGACTTGCTCAGTTGCCTAACTAACCTTAGCTCCTCACTCAACTTAGCTCTGCAGTCGATCCTCCTTTGATTGAGATATCACCTGCAGAGGATGCTTTCTCTACCACGTACCAGTTCTGAAAACTCCTTATAAGCAAGAAGCCTCTTTCCCTCCTCAAGGGAAGGAATGATCAGATTTGTATAGGGTAAGAATGAAATGATGCAGAGCAAAAGGCAAAACAAAAATTCAAAAATAAGCATTTTTTAATCAAATGAAATATAGTCACTTATTAAATGTAATGATTTTCTTAAGAAGTAAAAAACTTAAAAATAACCTCTCGTCTTTCTATGTCTTTTCTCCTTTCTTCCTCTCGTTGTCTCTCCAATTCCCGTTGCTTCTCTAAGCGTTTTTCTAATTCAAGTTGTTTCTTCCATTCTTGTTCTTGTAATTCTCTCTGTTTTCGTTCCCACTCTTCCTTTTCTTTCTGGGCTTTACGTTCTGCCTCCCTTTGTTGCTGCTCCATCAAGGCTTGGCGTCGCTTTTCCAGCTCCATGTTCCCTCGCTCATAGTTGGCTTTCCGTTTGTCCTCAAAAGTAACTGAACAAGGTATGCCTATCAGCATCCACACACATTAACAGCCTACAGAACCTGTAATCTAGTTTCTATATACTTATGCCTTGTGATCATTTGAGTGCTATCAGTATTTGAATACTTCTCCTAAGGATAATTTTAACTCAAATCTAAGTGGAAAAATATCTACTTTCTTCAAGGATATTCAATTTTAGAAAAACAAATTTTTAAGTTTGAATCCAATCAAGAGAGAAATAATTTTTATAAACTTGCCAATAAAAATACTTTTTCGGTTGGGTGTGGTGGCTCATGCCTGTAATCCCAACACTTTGGGAGGCCAAGGTGGGCGGATCACCTGAGGTCAGCAGTTCAAGACCGGCCTGGCCAACACGGTGAAACCCCATCTCTACTAAAAATACCAAAAATTAGCCAGGCATAGTGGCAGGCACCTGTAATCCCAGCTACTCAGGAGGCTGAGACAGGAGAATCGCTTGAACCCAGGAGGCGGAAGTTGCAGTGAGCCGGGATTGTGCTGTTGCACTCCAGCCTGGGCAACAAGGAAAAAAAAAAAAAACTTTTTCAACTTTTTTCTCTTCTTCAAGGACAATCAAAGCTGTGTGGTTATACATTTGTTTTGATGTCATTAACATCCTAATATATTAAAACAGCTACAAATGTATTCTTTCAACCAATATTTAAATGTTTTTAAAGGTAAAGATTTCATTACAAAGTTTCCTCTAATAACTCAGCCTAAATTAGGAGAAATACTTTAACTCAGATGTCTATAATCCTGTCAAATACATCTAACTGTCTCTTCTTCCTTCACACTCTTCTCATTTTGACCATCTTAATTTTATCAATACCAAAATACATCCCATCTATCAAATAGTTTTTTCTCATATAGCACATCAAATATTAAAAATATAAAAATTCTAAATATTCCATTACATTTAAAGGTAGAATTTAAAAGAACTCAGTATAAATATACAACTTTGACACTCAGTGATACCTGGTAATTTCTTCTGAGGCTCCTCTTCTTGCATTTTCTGATATGAAGGCAGAGTTCCATTAATGGAATCAATTTGCTTTCCTCCTCTAAAAAAATCAAACAACAAAGTTAGCATCATGTAGTCTGGACATTTTCAGACTAGATTACACAGACTACCAGTGATTATGGCAATTTGATATTGGGAATACAGTATTAAAGATATTTAAAACAGTTTGGTATGTCGTTACAAAATACAGTAGTATATGGATATTCAAGACAGAGAAATCTGGATTCAAATCACAGTTCAGCTAATTTTGGTTCTTGGGCAAGTTTTTCTTTATCTCTTTAGTCATTAGCCTCCTTATGTATAACATAATGAAAACACATCCACTTCTTTTTTTTTTTTTTTTTGAGGCAGGGTCTTGCTCTGCTGCCCAGGCTAGAGTGCTGTGGCATAATCACAACTTACTGTAGCCTTGAACTTCTATGCTCCAGTGATCCTCCTGCCCCAGCTTCCAGAGTACCTAGGACTACAGGCGCACACCACCACACCTGGCTAATTATTTTTATTTTTGTAGATACGGGGTCTCACTATGTTGTCCACGCTGGTCCTGAACTCCCGGCCTCATGTGATCCTCCCACCTTGGCTCCCAGTGTTATGATTACAGGCGTAAGCTGCCACGCCTGGCCCACACCTACTTCTAATATGTACCCTTTTCAAGTATAACTTGTTGAATACTAAAATCAATGGCAGTGCAAATATTTAACTCTCTTCTAAATCACATCTGCCAAGTTATCAAAACCATAGTTCTCCACCTCCAGGCACACTCACCTGAAAGATGGAGGAACAAGCTCAGGAGGTAAAGTCAGTGGTAATGGCTGTCCAGCTTTGGCCATGTCAGTAAGGTGCATTGCAAGAATAAACTCTTCTGCTTTTAGCTGTCCATCACCATCAACGTCAGCCAGAGTCCTAAAGAAAATGTTAAAATTCACAACTTAATAAAGTCTATTTGGAGTAAAATATTGCCTTAAAAGTTCAATTTTTATTTTACTTTTATTTATTTATTTATTTATTTATTTATTTGAGATGGAGTCTAGCTCTGTCGCTCAACCTGGAGTGCAGTGGCGCGATCTCAGCTCACTGCAAGCTCCGCCTCCCGGGTTCACGCCATTCTCCTGCCTCAGTCTCCCGAGTAGCTGGGACTACAGGCGCCCGCCACCACGCCTGGCTAATTTTTTGTATTTTTAGTAGAGACGGGGTTTCACCGTGTTAGCCAGGATGGTCTCGATCTCCTGACCTCGTGATCCGCCCGCCTCAGCCTCCCAAAGTGCTGAGATTACAGGCGTGAGCCACCTGGGCCCGGCCAATTTTTTATTTTTAAAAGAAGGATAATGATGGTAAAACTGCTGGGTACACTTATTTTAGTGAAATGTAAATACGTACATTTACGTAACTCACTATTGAATGTAAGTATGTAAGTATGTACTTCAATAGTGAATTAATTTTTTACCGTTGATTTTCAAGACATAAAAGAGAGGGAAGAAACTTTGAAACAGAAAGAGAAGTAACTACCCCTTCTGAGAAAGTGGCTTGTCTTACTCCATGGTTAATTCACCTACCAAATCACATTTACCTATATTAAAAACAAGATATTCTCTGATTCTCCATAGAAGGGATTAGATGAAAGAAAACAACAGTTTTTCTAGTAAAATATAGTCATGAACTGCATAATGACATATCAGTCAACAATGGACTGCATTTATAATGGTGGTCCCATAAGATTATAATGGAGCTGAAAAATTCCTACCACCTAAGGACACTGTAGCTGTCATAAAGCAACGCATTACCTATGTGTCTGTGGTGATGCTAGTCTGAACAAACATACTGCACTGCCAGCTGTAGAAAAGTACAGCATATACAATTATCTACAGTACATACACTCAATAACAATAAACATCTGTTAATATATTACTGGATTATGTATTTACTATACTTTATTTTTATTGTTATTTTAGAGTATACTCCTTCTACTTACAGAAAAAAAAAAGTTAACTGTAAGACAGCCTCAGGCAGGTCAGTCAGGAGAAATTCCAGAAGGCATTGTTATCATAGGAGACAATGGCTCCATGCGTGTTATTGCCCCGAACACCTTCCAGTGAGACAAGATGTGGAGGTAGAAGATAGTGATACTGATGATCTTGACCCTCTACAGGCCTAAGCTAATGGGTGTCTTTGTGTCTCAGTTTTTACCGAAAGTTTAAATAGTAAAAATAAATTTTAAAAACAAGAAAGAGCTTAAAGAATAGGATATAAATATCTTTCTGTACAATGTGTTTGTGTTTTAAGCTAAGTGTTATTACAAGAGTCAAAAAGTTTTAAAAAATTAAAAGGTTTACAAAGTTAAAAAGTTATTGTATGCCAAGATTAATCTATTGTTGAAGAAAATATTTTTTGTAAATTTGGTGTAGCTTAAGGGTACAACAACATTCTGCACAATTACATTTGCCTCCAAGCTTAATACTAACTTTCAAATGGCTGCTTTTATAGAGCATCTCTGAGTCACAAACTTTTACAGAAACAGTATCTTTCTTGTAATAGGGGAGAGAGAGTTTAATTAATTAATGCATAGTTAAATTAATCAAATGTAATTAAGGGACAAACTTACCAAATAGTAGCCAGCTGAGTTTGAGAAAGATTTGACTGAAGAAGGGCATTTCTAGCTTGAAAACCTGATTAAGTGGGGAAAATCATAAAGGAATTCTTTAGCATCTTTAAAGTTATGCATAACAAATTAGCTGTATCTGTAAAATAACAATGCTACCAGGGTATCCTGGGAACTTTTAACATCAAAATGTTTTTACCACGTGCTAGGTGCTAAGCATTCAGTAGCAATTAAACCCAGTCACTGCCCCAAGGAATTTTAAATCTAGAATTAGCAGTATCAAGTGCTGTCCCCTGTCTTTTCAGCAAGATAATAATACACACAAGTGGCTAACGTGAAAGAACAAGATATCAGGCACACAGAGTATCAGAGGCCAAGACTGTGGGCCCTCTTGTACTCCCAGCAGGTGCAGCACTTCCCACTCCTACGTGACTGAGCCGTGAGTAGCAGAAGAGTCAGGCGCTACTCTGGGTTCAGCCTGAGTCAAGGCCTGTCCAAAACAACTCTTACACAAGAGATTACATCTGCCAACACTGCCTCAGCAACAGCTCCAACTACAACAAAAGCCAGCCAAATGCAGCTAGATTTATTGTCCCACTAGGCTTTCAACATAGGACTTGATAATCAAAGCAACCATGTATTACAACATGCAGCTAAATGTTTATATTTTATAACTTTTAAAATATTTTCATTCTATTTTTTTAATCTGGACATTTAACATAAATCACATAAAAACACTGGAAATTAAACTCACAGCCTCGCCCTATTAATTACTCCTCAGATTTCACTTAGGAAATTTGATTTGAGGAGGTCTTTGTGTTAAAAGGAAGATTCTTCTAAATAAGAGAGATGGAAGGCTATTTCAAACCTGAAAAAAAGTTCAAAACTACTATTTCAGCTTTTGGACCGAAAAAAGATCCTTTTGGACTGAAAGAAGATCCCTTAGCATCAGGCAATAGAGCAAACAGAAGAGAGAAGGAGGAGGAATGTAAATGGTTAAAAATCATACTCGTGGAGGGCTTTATATGTGTGAGGCAAAGTCTGAGTAATACAAAGGGCCATAGAGAGCCAACAGAGTATCTTACTTACTAAGTAAAACTCATTTGAACATGTATGTACACTCTTAGTCGGCCAAGCCTCTGGATATCCTATATCCTCTGCTTAGAATGCCAGACCCTCAATTCTTTACTTTGTAGTCTATCCTCTGAAATCTGGCTCTAATCTCTTTTCTTCTGTGAAACATTCTCTCTTATATCCTTGGAGTTAGTCACTTTCTCATCTATATTAATCACAGCACTTTTAAACAAGTAACCAAACACCTTGATTACATGAGCTCTTCATTATATGGGCTCTTCAAAGATATGAACCATGTCTTGCCCCTGTCTGTATTCCTGTGCCTAAGAGAGTGCCCAGAAAGTATGTGATTCAGGAAACAGTTACATCAATGACTTGATCTAAATAAATTTTTAAAAACTATGTTTAGGGGGAGGAGAAGAGAAGTAAAAAAGGGAAAAACAGACCAGTGGACAGGCGCGGTAGCTCACGTCTGTAATCCCAGAACTTTGGGAGACCAAGGCGGGCGGATCACCTGAGGTTGGGAGTTCGAGACCAGCCTGGCCAACATGGCAAAACCTGTCTCTACTAAGAAAAATTAGCTGGGCGTGGTGGCGTGTGCCTGTAGGAGGCAGGAGAATCGCTGGAACCCGGGGAGGCAGAGGCTGCAGTGGGCCAAGATCGCACCACTGCACTCCAGCCTGGGCAACAGAGCAAGACTCTGTCTCAAAAAAAAAAAAAAAAAAAAAAAAAGGATCACCAACTCCTACACTTATTGAACAAAACAAACATATAAGTCCAGGTTAGCCTCATCCTCATGTTCTTGGGGCTCATGCTCAGCTTAAGGACACCAGCAGCAACTACTCTTTTTATAGAAAACCTTGTCTTTACCTACAGATATATAGCTTTACCCTTGTAGGTCTCAGAATAATAATGACATTCCCTAAAAAACACCATAATACACAACCTTCGTACAATGTGACATATACTAATGAAGTAACATTAGGGATCACTTCCCCACAGTTGGCTCCCCATTCACTGCCCTTCATATTCCAATGCAAAATCACCTCTGTTTATACTGTTATAGTTACAGTACTTATACAAAGCGTACTACTCTTAAGTGTGCTGCCTAATAATTTTTTCTTTTTTGAGACGTAGTCTAGTTCTGTCACCCAGGCTGGAGTGCAGTGGCATGATCTCAGCTCACTGCAACCTCTGCCTCCCAGGCACAAATAATTCTGTTGCCTCAGACTCCAGAGTAGCTAGGATTACAGGCGTCCACCACCACGCCTGGTTAATTTTTATATTTTTAGTAGCGATGGGGTTTCACCATGTTGACCAGGCTGGTCTCAAACTCCTGACCTCAAGTGATCCGCCCGCCTCAGCCTCCCAAAATGTTGGAATTACAGGTGTGAGCCACTGCACCCGGCCTGCCTAATGAATTTTTACACAGGTATGCACATACACACCTGTATCAAGATGCAGAATGTTTCCAGCAACTCAGAAGGTTTGCACATGGCCCCTTCCCCACACAGTAACCACATTATTCTGATTTCTATCACCATTAATTAGGTTTCCTGTTCTTCAGCCTCATATAAATGGGTTAAATGGTATGGTCCTTTTGGGCTGCTTTCATTCAATACCATACCTGTGAAAGTCATTCATGTTGTTGCAGGTATCAGCAGTTCATTTGGTTTTATCGCTTTAAAGTATTCTGTTATGTAAATATACTGTCATTTATCTATTCTCCTGTCGATGAACATTTAGGTTGTGAACATTTTTGTAAATGTCTTTTTCATCAACTTTTGTTCAGTTGAAAACAAATAACTTCTTTTTATTAGAGAGATGGGGTCTCACTATGTTGCCCAGGCTGGACTCTTGGGCTCAAGCAATCCTCTTGCCACATCCTCCCAAGTAGTTGGGACTATAGGCACATGCCGCTATGCCTAGCAAAGATAAACTTTTTTTTTTTTTTTGAGACAGAGTCTCGTTCTGTTGCCAGGCTGGAGTGCACTGGCGCAATCTCGGCTCACTGCAACCTCCGCCTCCTAGGTTCAAGCAATTCTCCTGCCTCAGCCTCCAGAGTAGCTGGGACTACAGGTGTGCACCACCATGCCCAGCTAATTTTTGTATTTTTAGTAGAGACGGGGTTTCACCATGTTGGCCAGGATGGTCTCGATCTCTTGACCTCATGATCTGTCTGCCCCAGCCTCCCAAAGTGCTGGGATTACAGGCGTGAGCCACCGCACCTGGCCAAAATTAACTTTTTAAATGCAAAATGTAGGGTACAAAGAAGTTAATTTTTTCAAAGAATAGGAATTATGACTTTATATTAATCTCCAGTATGGTTCAATACCATATTTCACAGAATCTAAAATTCCACTGGCTATAAGACATACTATTATTTTATGAATAAGAAAGAAAGCACTGCTAATAAAACTATGACACAGTGCTAAGACATCACTAATTGTAGCACACATCCTAATTTTAGAGACATTAAAATGTAAAAAAAAAAAAGTGTCAAAAAAGCATACCTTGTTTCATGCAATTTGATAAAATTACAGAAAATCTTAGTTATGTAATATGAAATACATGTAAAAATACAAAGTATATATGTAAGCTAAGAAGTATAATAGGTCACCCGTGAACCTACCACCCATCTTAAGAACTAGATTACTACTAAATGCCTTGAATCTATCCGTGTTCCTTGACTTATCCCCATGCTTCCACAAGAGGTAACCACTATCCTGAATTTTGTATGCATAATTCCCTTGCTTTAAAAAATAGTTATCACATAGGTATGTATCTTTAAATAAAATACTGTATATTTTTGCTTGTCCAATCGATTCCAAAAGTCTTACTGCTCGTTCCCTTGCCTCTCTGCATAACTACAGACCCTGGACTCCTATTTCACAGACTACTTTTCATTCTCCAAATAGGCCATGTATTTTTTGCTCTTAATTTCTCCTTTGTCACCATCAAATGCCCCCACGTTCAATCTCTGTCGAAATCCTAACTTTTTCATGGAGCTTAAATGCTCCCTTCCTAAAAGATACCTCATCTGAACTCTTCAGCTTCAATATATCTCATTCTATGTTCCTTAGCACTTAAAGCTCTATTATTTTTAAACACTTATTTTACTCGGTCCTAAATCATAATTTCTTGCTGAGTGAAGAGGGAGTGGGAAAGTTAGAAGGTGGGAACTCTACTTGCCTATTACCCTCTGTTTATGTCTCCTTTGCTGTTCTCAATTAGTACAGTTCAGATGATGTTCTGGCCTGGACTCAAATGTTTTACAGTGAACTAAGGCCAAGTTTTACAGTCACATTTGGGTTAGAGCATTAAAGGGTGAGCAATGCTCACTTGAGGTTATATAAACAGAGAAAAAGCCCAATGCAGAGGAGGATTCTCAGGAAAAGTGAGCTGAGGCTAAGTTCCACACACTCTCTCTTGTGACCCGTGGCTCTCCATTCACTGCAAAGCTTAGAGGATGAGGTCTGATCTTAAGGGACAGGTCTTTTGCCAAAAAGTTGGGGGTATATCTGGTGCCCGACTTGACAGTAAGAACTTTGAAGAAAGCAATCAAGTTGAATCCATCTTTGAATCCTTATACAACTTCAGGTATTTGTATTTATCAAATGCCTGCTAAATTTTTTGGATGTTAAAATGTCAGATGAGCTACACAATACAAATTCAAATGACAGTTCTTCAGTGGAAGTCCACATAAAAGACCCTTTTTCATGCTCTTCAGCACTGTATGCTGCTTACCTGAGAGATATCCACTCATACTTTTGTCAAGAGTATTAAATTTTTGCCGATATTTTAATCTTGTAGGCTGAGGAACTGCCCACTCTGAGGTCCCAGTCTTGGGTGAGTTCCCTGAGAGTGAAGCAGTCGAGGAAGTTGAGCTATAAAAAAATTTATTTAAAATTTTTATGTTACTAAATAAAATATATTTAATTAAATTTTATAAGACCAAGGCATTAAGAATCTTATATACCAGGGGTCCTGAACCCCCGGGCCACCGACCTGTTAGGAACCGGGCTGGACAGCGGGGCTCGGTGAGTGGCAGGTGAGTGAGCACTACTACCTGAGCTCCAGCTCCTGTCCAGTGAGCAGTGGCATTAGATTCTCATAAGAGTGCAAACCCTATTGTGAATGGCACATGTGAGGGACCTAGGTTGGATGCTCCCTTTGAGAATCTAATGCCTGATGATCTGAGATGTAACAGTTTCATCCTAAAACCATTGCTTCAAGTCTGTGAAAAAACTGTCTTCTATGAAACCAGTCCCTGGTACCAAAAAGGTTGAGGATCGCTGTTACATACTATAATGGTGACTGCCTTTTCTCTTTTTCTGGGGAGGAGACAGAGTCTCGCTCTGTTGCCAGCCTGGAGTGCAGTGGCACAATCCTGGATCACTGCAACCTCCACCTCCCGGGTTCAAGCAATTCTCCTGCCTCAGCCTCTCAAGTAGCTGGGACTACAGTCACATGCCACCACGCCCGGCTAATTTTTTTGTGCGCATTTTTAGTAGAGACAGGGTTTCACCATGTTGCCCCAGGCTGGTCTCGAACTCCTGAGCTCAGGCAATCCGCCCACCTCAGCCTCCCAAAGTGCTGGGATTACAGGCGTGAGCCACTGTGCCTGGCCAATGGTGACTGCTTTTGCATTTTACATTTTTTTAAATTTTAAGCAATTATCACTATTCTTAGTAAAGCAAAGACCATAAGAAGTATAGAACTCCATGAGACTACCGCATATAAAGAACCTGCTCTGTGCCAGACCTTATATTGTACTAAGGCCTTTACAAATATTTCTAATCCTCCCAACAAACTTAAAAAATACTACAGTCCCCATCTTTTAGATGGGTAAACTATGGCTCAGCGATGTTAAGAAAAAACAAGGCCACAGAATCAGTGAGTGTTCAAGCTAGGATATGAATGTTGTTCTTCTGGGTCAAATCTAACACTCTCCGTACACTACCCTGAAGAGTATAATAGTGATTTATATGAAGGGTGATTAATGTAATGAATACTGATGCATTTGTGCTTTGTAAAATTTAAAAGATATCCAATTAGTAGAATCTGCTCAAGAAAGAAATTAACAATGTACAATGAGTATGAGACATCTTGGGAAATATACACATTTTTTAAAGGAAAAGTACACAGCTTTAGGCAAAGAAAAAATTAAAATATAGAATATTTTTAGTTTACATGAATTATTTTTTCAAAAGTAAAATGCCACAGACACTTAATAATTCTAAAAATAAAAAATTTATTTTATGTGAGTTGTAAGTAGTAAATTTACCTTAAGTATTTGTACTTGGCCATTATAAAGTAAAACTTAGGTAAGCTCAAAGCTTTAAAAAAATCATTTGTTAAATAAAGACTTCTTACTGAAAGCATAAAAAGTTGTCAGAGTTAGCTATTCATACCTACTAGATCCTAAATCAATCAGAGACTGCGCTTTCTGTATACTAGCACCTCCAAATCCTCCCATCATCAGACTATAAGATGACCCATGAGGCAATGCTAAAAAAGAAAAAGAAGGAAAAGTATGAAAGAAATTTGTATCTGTTCAAACACAAATAGTTTCTTTCTTTACATGAAATAATGACTCTTTAGAAACAAAGTACTCACTTGAAGAAGAATAAGGAATGGGTAAAGGCTGAATGAGACTGGCGGTTCCATTTGGTAATGATGATGTGCTAACAGAAGGCACTAGGGGAGTGGGCATCATTAAGGGAGGAAGGTTGGTCCCTGAAGTCGCAGAAGACAATGATGTTATAGGTGCAGCTGGAGGCAATGGCTGAGGAATGGACAGATTGGGCATGCTTCCCATTCCTAAAGTCAAAAGAAAACATTTTTTCCAGTGCTAGAAAATCAATTATAAAACACATGCAAAAAACAAGTTTACAGTACAGTGGGCAGACTCTATGTTTACCAAAACACACAGATGAATTATCCTTAAAAAACTCACTACTTTGACCCAGCAGTGAGGGAGGTAAACTGCTGCTCTTAATACTAATACTCTGATCTGTATGAACTAAGAAAACACCTAGCAAAGAGTTAAATATTCTCCTCTCTCATCATGAATAAAACTAAGCAGCCTTTTCCAATTGAATATGAGTCTCCTCAAGGAAAGAATACATTACCAGATCAAATGAGGTTTTTGTGAAAGGATAATACAGTGCTACTAAGTTACTTGACTAATACACACACACACACACACACACACATTCTTCTTCTCTCTCTCTCTCACATACTCCCCCCAAACAAAAAGGTTCTAAGTAGTAGATACTTTATGAGATCCATTTATGCATATGCATTATTTGCAAGAAAGTGTGTCACATATTTTACTTTTCTTGTAAGTAACATTCCTATGAATTCAAGGACGAGTTCTTAAAAGGAACAAAGTGATGACTTTTATTCATTTATTAACTGCAGAATACTTATAAATATGGTCACACAATGATTTAGTATTTATCTTTAGAATTCACTAAAATAGTGAAATAATTTTGTGGAGTCTGTTGTTTGTTTGAGATGGGGGTCTCACTATGTTGCCCCGACTAGAATGAAGTGGCTATTCACAGGTGCGATCATAGCACAGTACAACCTCAAACTCCTGGACTCAAGCAATCCTACCCATAGCCTCCCAAGCAGCCAGAACTACAGGCACACACCCCTATAACCAGCTCTAGAATTCTATATTCTAAGATCTGTAGTGAAGGAACATGTTTCAGATACATAGACATACCTAATTGAATGTTCCATTCAAAATGAGTGCTTCTCACATATAATTATAAGAAATTGCCTGATCAAAATTAACAGAAAACATACCAACCGGTTATCGCTGATGAATACGTGAACTTATTAGCCCAAAGTCTGCAACTTTTGGCCCTAAATTTAGCTGGCTAATTAACCTTTAAAAAAATTCAACTTACATAAAATTTTAAATTATCTCCCAAATCGAACCATTTCAAGTGAGTTTAAAACTGCTCAAAATTTTTTCTGTATTACTCACATATATATAGAGAGAGAGGAAACTAAGAATAGTATTTGGGATTGGCTATACCTAGGGAGACCATATAATTCATCACGCAACTAGGAGTTGTAAAAGGAGACACTAACTGGACCAGATGCCAGGACAAAAGGCATAAATCAGAACTGTCCCTAGAAAACCAGAACACATGGATCCCCTACCTGTGACAGTGAATTTAATATTTATTATCTCTAACATGAAAATTAACTTGGAATCTGGGGACTGTCATTTTGTGCTAACAAATCCTTTTCTAATACTCAAATATGCCTAGGGATAAAGTTTAAGTAGCAAATACAGGTATTTAAATTAATACATACTTACCAAAACGAGCAGAAATTAATGGAGAAAACATAGGGGGTTGCTTCATAATAGGAGGGAGAACCACAGGCAACTGTTGGCCTTGAAGCTTCAGTTTGATGAGTTTCATAGCTATGGAGAACTCTTGCTGATCCATCTTCCCATCCTTGTTTAGGTCTGATAAAGCCCTAAAAGGAGCATGAGGTAGGTAGATTGCTATGTGGTGTGGTGGTGGGAAAACTAACGTTATTTTGGGGATTGACAAAGTAAAAATGATGATATGGCATTCACGTGTACATCATCACTAAATTTAAAATATCTAACATGTAAAATATATAATAACAAAAAGATAAAACCTACACTTTAAGAAATACTGACCAGAGATAATAACTAATAAAACACTGCCTGTCAAAACAGAATCTAGAGACCTTTGGGCTGAATTCCACCAGTTTAGGTAGAAAAAAATTCAAGATTATAATACTTCTAAATTTAATTTATTCATCTGTCCAAATATTTACTGAATACTTGCTATGTGCCTCGTACTCTACCAGGCATGAGAATATTCCAAGTGGAAAGATGGGACAGGGGTTGTTACTTATTGTAAACGTTTTTAAAAAAACAGATATTATAGAGAATAGTTTCTTTAAAGAAGGAGCAGGGGAAGCGAGGACTAATTTGGGGTTTATAGATTATGAAATAAATGAAACTACAAAATAACAGAAAGAGGATTTTGAGATTCTGCCAAATTATAAGGAAATTTTTCTCAATGATAATGTATATATCTTTCCTTAGAAAATTCTAATGAAATTAGAAATTTGTCCTAGAGAACTAAACCTGAATTATTTTCAATAATTTGCTCAATAAAATTTATTTTCCAAAAAACTGAAGAAATACCTTTTTTTTTTTTTTTTTTCTAAAGAGAGTCTCATTCTGTCATCCAGGCTAGGGTGCAGTGACACAATCATAGTTCACTGCAGCACTGAATTCCTGGGCTCAAGCAATCCTTCCATCTTGGCCTCCCTGAGTAGCTGGGACTAGAGGTGTGGCCACCACACCCAGCTAATTTTTTTTTTAATTTTCTGTAGAGACAGGGTTCTCACTATGTTGCCCAGCCTGGCCTCAAGCAATCCTCCTACCTCAGACTCCCAAAGTGCTGGCAGAAATATTCTTAATAACCAATAGAATGCAACTAAAAACAATTTTATGTTAACACTATATTACAAAAAAACAAAATACTATCAGAAAATTAGGTTCATCTACAAAACACTTTACCATATTTCAGCTAAAACAGGGGCCGGCAGACCTGATTGTAGGAAAAAATTACGTGCTTGATCACCTGGAGGTAATAAAAACAAAACCCAAGCAGCACATTAGTAAATGAAATTATTCCAATGCTTCTGAATAATAATGGGTATATGTTAATGATTTATTATAATTTTAATACCAATCATTAAAGAATAAGTGAAATAGAAACACATAAAAATTATTTACATAACTTTAATAAGACAGATATTTTAAAACAAAAGTCACATCTGCACTTCTATTGTATATTAATCAGTGATGAAAGATGATTCATCTCAGTTTTTCCACAATTGGGGTCTTCCTTAAAAATACTTCCACTTAGTAAAATTTATATTTAAAAACACTATTCCCTAAAAGAGTTTCAATATAAAAAGTACCAGGTGTTAGGAGAGAGAGTCCTCCATGAGTTTCTTCACACTCCTATGTGTCTTGCTCTGTATACCAATAATGTAAGACCCTAATTGCTCTCTGCCTGGGTCACTTCTCAGAATTGGGTTTGTAATGAGCAATCTTAACGAATCCGGTAACGTTTCCCACTGAGACAAGGGACAAACTTGCTTTACTGCTTGCTACAAAAGGGTGGGTTCCCCAAATTCAGTGTTCCTCTCCTGTAACACAATCATAGCATGTGTACTATTCTCCTGGGCTCTCTGCATTGTCTCTGTGGGACTTAGGGAACACTAAAGGAAACAGAAAGATAGATGCCAATGCTCATTTTGCTAGTTATGCTGTTAGTCATAAGGTTCTTTGTCTCTGACTCAGGAATCTTGGGTCTTCCACCCGTAATGGACAAAGTTATTAACCTGTAAGCAGGGTAATCAAATCCTGATACCAGGTAAGGTAATTACTATCATAGCAGTACAAATAACATGGTTAAGTAGATGGATTCCAAAATCAGCCCAAATGGTTTCAAAGCCCAGATTAACACTAACCATCTTTGTAACCTTAGGCAGTTACATAACGTCTCTTAGTCTCAGTTTCACTATTTGTAAATATAGACAACAACAGTGCCTACTTTACAGGGTTGTTGTAAAGGTTAAATAAAATAATGCACTTAGCATAGCATCTGGTATATAGTAAAAATTCAATAAATATCATTGTTCTCATAGTTACTATTATTGTATGTAAAGCACTAAGCTACTTTGGCACAGAAAAAAGTTTAATTAATAGAAAAAAATTTCAAAGGCACACCTAAATTAATCCCATTTTGGCTCTGGTGGTCTTTCTGCAAAACAAGGGCTAGCATCAACAATCAGTGCTTGGTGTAGCCTCAAAGACAGAGGGCTAGCATTAGGAAAACAGATTCCAGAAAAAAAAAGTCTAGATTTTCCATGAAATGAATCTAAGAAATAAACTGAAAACTTTCTAGATATAATGTTAAAATGTGAAACCAGACAATTACACAGAAATTCTTGACTATCATTTAGGATTCAGGAAAAATCTTCCATATCCCAAATTTAAAACAACAAATTAAGACAGTTCCAGGAAAAATAAAGTTAGCATTTCTTTAATTTCTAGAATTCTGATTGATATGAATTTTATCGTTTATTAACACAAATTTGATGGCAGTCAAATTAAAACTAATTCTTAGATATCACATAAGGACCATAATTCACTAATAAAACTAATTATAAATACAAACCTGTTATGTAACCTCCTGAAGGTTTGAGGTTATCAAACTGCCTGTCATGCTTAGTACGTTCTTCAGAGGTAATAGCCCACATGTTTGGCCCTCCTGAAACATAAGTGGAAGAAACTATAGTGTATACATGAGAATGCTTAAAATACAATTCTAAAATGTAAATAGAAATCACAAGTGTTCATTGTATGACAGTATTTAATATTTGAGTGACACAAAGAGTAGAGCTCTATCATAACCATACATAGCACAGCCCTAAGGCTTTTCACTCATTGGCTCAATTAACGTCTATTGAACAAGTGCTATATCACACTCACTGGAAATGGGCATCAAGCTAAATACTGGCAATAAAAAGATGAAGAAAATATTCCCACCCTCAAGGAATTCATGCTCTAGAAAACAACAGTACTTACAGTATTCACCTGTGAAAAATCCTAAGCAGAACTATATACTGCCATAGTTTAGCCCTGTGTCCCCACCAGAACCTCATTTCGAACTGTAATCCCCACGTGTCAGAGGAGGGGCCTGGTGGGAGATGACTGGATCATGGGAGTTGATTTCTCCCTTGTTGTTTTTGTGATAATGAGTGAGTTCCTCACAATAGCTGATGGTTTTAAAGTGTGGCACTTCCCCCCTTGCTGCTTCTCTCTCTCCTGCTGCCACGTTAAGATGTGCTTTGCATCCCCTTCGCCTTACACCTTAAGTTTCCTGAGGCCTCTCCAGCCATGTGGAACTGTGAGTCAATTAAACCCTTTTTTTCATAAATTACTCAGTCTCAGCTAGTTCTTTATAGCAGTGTGAAAACAGACTAATACAGATACCAAAACAGCTGTGCCAATTCTGAGTTAGAAGCACCAAGGATGAGATAACAGGAAAGGTAACACTGAGGCAGAGCCTTGAAGCTTGGTTTGAATTTTGCCACGTGAAGAGGAGGGATAAGAACATTTCACACCATAAGGGCACAGCATGAGAAGTCAAGGCATGTGCAAGGTGCTGTTAAGTGCACTGAGCAGACTAATAACTAGAGTTAGTAATAATAAACAGGTAGGGTGGAATTAACTGTAAAAAGGTCTTAAATACCATCCTCAAGAGCCTGACCCCATACCCTGGAAGTTATAGAGAGCCATCTAGTAGTTTTTATTATTTTATTATTTATTTATTTATTTATTTTGAGACAAAGTCTTGCTCTGTCACCAGGCTGGAGAGCAGCAGAGTGATCTCGGCTCACTGCAGCCTCCGCCTCCTGGGTTCAAGCAATTCTCCTGCCTCAGCCTCCCAAGTAGCTGGGACTACAGGCATGCGCCACCACACACCCGGCTAATTTTTGTATTATTAGTAGAGACAGGGTTTCACCATGTTGGCCAGGATGGTCTTGATCTCCTGACCTCATGATCCACCCACCTCGGCCTCCCAAAGTGCTGGGATTACAGGCGTAAGCCACCACGCCCAGACAGTTTTTAAATAAGCTTTTAATTTGGAATAATTTTAGATTTACAGAAAATTCACAAAGATAGTACATGGCTCCTATATACCTTTCACCCAATTTCTACTATGTTAACAACTGACACAACCATAGTACATTTGTCAAAACAAAGACATTAACAGTCTGGTATATAACTACTGGCTAAATTAATACCTCCACCTGCAGTGGTGGCTGGTAAACTCCAACAGAATTAAACTCTGGGTAGTGAAGACAGCACAAGGCACTGTGACTGATGATTCTGCCCATCGGAGCCTCTAGCAAAAGGAAGTAGCCTTCACCTAGAGATAATCCTTGGGATCAGAAAGCTTGACCCACGAAGGCCTAGTGATTCTCTAGCCTGATAGTCCCATTTTGGGGAGGGTCAACTTGAATTCCACAAGGTGGGAATAACCTGAAAAGCCTTGTTTGTCAAATAGAAATGGTATATCAAAGAAGATATAGACACTGGCCCCAACAGTATTTTGGCTTTACGTTAAAAAGTGGCAGTGGCCGGGCGCGGTGGCTCACGCCTGTAATCCCAGCACTTTGGGAGGCCGAGGCGGGCGGATCACCTGAGGTCAGGAGTTCAAGACCAACCTGGTCAACATGGCGAAACCTCATCTCTACTAAAAATACAAAACAAATTAGCTGGGTGTGATGGTGGGTGCCTGTAGTCCCAGCTACTCAGGAGGCTGAGGCAAGAGGATCATTTGAACCCGGGAGGTGGAGGTTGCAGTGAGCTGAGATCACGCCATAGCACTCCAGCCTGCGCCGACAAGGGCAAGACGCAATCTCAAAAAAAAAAAAAAAGCGGCAACTATCCCTCTGAGGGAAACCTTTATGCACATTCCACTGCTTATAGTAAAGCTACTGGATCAATGAAGGCTCAGATCAGAGAAGCTGCAAGTTGCTGGTGTTCACTGGGCTGCAGTGGCTATTCAGCCTCAGAGGCAGCTATGCTGAACTGAAAGGAGACATGGGCAGAACCTGGATTCTTGGGCTGCTGCCAATGACCCAGCTGTTTGGTTTGCCACTTGGAAAATTACAGATTGACAGATTAAAGACACCCTCCTGGGGCTACAAATTGAAAACAAATCTCAACTGCTAATTGAATTGTCTGTGTCACCTATGTAGACACCTACAGTATGGGCCCAGCCTCTGATTTAGACTGAAATCAAGTATGACTAATGTGCAGAGGATACCACTGCATGCCAAACTGTGACTTGGGGATGGTGGGGGAGGTCTCATTGCAGGTGGCATTGTTCCCTTTGACTCCTGGCAGACTGACTATATTGGACCTTTGTTCCCTCTCTCAGGCTATCAGTGGTGCCTCAAACTATTGACAGTATTTTTTTGTTTTTCACATAGACTTTTTAGAGCAGTTTTAGGTTCACGGCAAGATTGAGCAGAAGGTACAAACATTTCTCCTATACCTTCCACCCCACTGACACATAGTCCCTCCCATTAAAACATTCCCCTGTTGACACTTTTTTAGGTTACCAATCAGCCCACGATGCCCACACTGTCATGGCCCTTGAAACTAATCTGTGTCATGTTTCTTTTTTAAAAAATTTAGAGACAGGGTCTCACTCTGTTGCCCAGGCTGGAGTACAGAGTGACCCTTGGCTCACTGCAGCCTTGACATCCCAGGCTCAAGTGATTCTCCCACCTCAGCCGCCTGAGTAGCTGGGACTACAGGTACGTGCGACTACAGCTGGCTAATTTTTGTATTTTTTGTAGAGACGGGGTCTCACTATGCTGCCAAGGCTGGTCTCGAACTCCTGGGCTCAAGTGATCCTCCTGCCTTGACCTCCCATAATCTGTGTCATGTTTTTGGTTTTCTGGACCATATGCATTCTGACATGGATGCACTTTTATCATAAAAGCCATTCAACAATGCACTGACAGCCTGACTCTATTTCCATCACCTCCTCCTGGTCCACATACTTTAAAGTAAGATAGTGTGGTCACTGACTGTAGCTGTCTCCAGAAAGGATTCATTGCTTATTAGCTGCTTCCTCCCTAATGATCAGGGCTAAAGGGTGGGGTATCACAGGAGATATACAGACCTATTGTGAAAATTCAGGATTCTACTCTGACCACTCCTGGACATGATGCATCTTTCTAGCCCCTAACAGCAACTGTAGGCAGGCTTGGTTCATAAACCCTCCAGCTGGGCCACTGAGGTAAAAGGGGATCTAGAGCAGGAATTCCCAACCCCCAGGCCACGGACTGGCACTGGTCTGTGGCCTGTTAGGAACCTGGCCGCACAGAAGGTGAGCGGTGGGCAAGTGAGCACTACCACCTGAGCGGCACCTCCTGTCAGATCAGTGGCAGCATTAGATTCTCATAGGAGCACAAACCCTATTGTGAACTGTGTGTGTGAGGGATCTGGGTTGCATGCTCCTTATGAGAATCTAATGCCTGATGATCTGCAGTGGAGCAGTTTCATCCTAAAACCAACCCCCTCCCACCACCCTACCACAAATCTGTGGAAAAATTGTCTTCCATGAAACTGGTCCCTGGTGCCAAAAAGGTTGGGGACCAGTGATCTAGAGGATTCAAAGTTAATTCTGGTTAGGGTTTATGAAAATGTCCCTCTTACATCTAACTCTTCTGGATCACTAGGAAATGGTAAAGTTATGGCTCTGAAATGAGAAACCCAGGTTTAATGGCAGTAGAGCAACAAGAAGGCACCTGAGGAAGAAACGCCTTAGACCCCAGGAGGTATGGTATTAAGAGAGGAATTAATGATATTTTCTCTTGTAGAACTGCCCCTGTAGCCTTCTTCTGCAAGAAAAATGCCTTGGTATGGCTCTCCTAAATTGTTGGAAGCACCTTATGAGTCTGCCATCCCCCATCAGGAGCCTTATCAAGAGTCTATCAGGAACATCAGGAATGACCCCAGAAAATGTATCTCCTGTCCATATCACTTCCAGAGGTCTTCCCCCACCCCCAATCTCAGTAATGGATGAATTCCACCCAGCTGGTGGCGAGGACAAACAAAACAAGTGGGACTAATTTGGGCAATCCCTCCAAAAACAAGGACTAGACTCAATTACTCAAACTCCACTGGAAACCCTCAGACTTGCCAGTCATCCAGGAGGCTATGTTAGAGGCACTATCAACCTGTGCCCCTCTTCTGATGTAGGTCCCACGGCAGTAGGGGTTGCAGGGGGAATAACTGTAAACATTTTCTTTCCAAGCATAACCCATGCACACCCTTGATCTTCTACTTCTTCTGTGGAAACCATGCATTAACTTGCCTCCCTCCAAAAACACAGTAATGTACATGAAGAGATCTTCAAGTGTTTAAAAAAACACTTCCTCAGTCCTGGAAGGCATTCAGGTCAGCCTCAACTCACTGGCTAGGGTTGTCAGAGATTTATCCTAGATTTTCTTTTTTTGCAGGCTAAGATAAAGTGTGTGCAATTATGAATACACTCTGCTGTACCCAGATTACTGATTCAGGCCAGGTAGAAAAGTTAAAATAAAACTTAAGGAGAGGCCGGACATGGTGGTGCACACCTAATCCCAGTATTTTGGGAGGCTGAGGCAGGAGGATCCCTTGAGCTCAGGAGTTTGAGACCAGCCTGGGCAACATAGTGAGACCCCATCTCTACAAAAAAACTTAAAAAAATTAGCCAGGCTGGGCGCGGTGGCTCACGCCTGTAATCCCAGCACTTTGGGAGGCCGAGGAGGGTGGATCATGAGGTCAGGAGATCGAGACCATCCTGGCTAACAAGGTGAAACCCCGTCTCTACTAAAAATACAAAAAATTAGCCGGGCGCGGTGGCGGGCGCCTGTAGTCCCAGCTACTCGGGAGGCTGAGGCAGGAGAATGGCGTGAACCCAGGAAGCGGAGCTTGCAGTGAGCCGAGATTGCGCCACTGCAGTCCGCAGTCCGGCCTGGGCGACAGAGCGAGACTCCGTCTCAAAAAAAAAAAAAAAAAAAAAAAAAAAAAAAAAAAAAAAATTAGCCAGTGGTGGTGGCTCACACCTGTAATCCCAGCTACTTGGGAGGCTGAGGTAGAAGGATTGCTTGAGCCCAGGAGATCAAGGCTGCAGGGAGCACTGATCACACCACTGTCTGGGTTACAGAACAAGACCCTGTCTCAACAAAAAACAAACAACAACAACAACCACCAAAAAAAAAAAAAACAAAAAAACATTGTTTTTTAAGGAGAAAGCCACCTGGCTTTCTAAGGGAGACACTGATGATTTATAGGATTTGTTTAGCTGGGACCCTGCAGAGCACAGCTGAGAACACTGCAAGCTGAGACCAACCTGCTGCTTGGAGTCCTGTTGATTAGTCTTAATCAAATGCTGCATAAAATAAATCAGACTTAGTCCCAGCCCGTTTTGTCAGATTAATCGGAGTGGCCAACTTAGTGGTATGTACACTCATGAGAAAATTTGCTAGAAGTCAAGACAATGGAGAAACAAGGGAGAGGAACCCTTGGGAGACAATTCTCCATGAGTTTCTCATGTTTCTGTACATCTTCTAAAGCAAAGGATTGATAGCTTTTGTTCCAGACTATCTCTGAGGATGTCTGCATTGCAAATACAGGGGTTTCTTCCCGAGCTTGGGATTAGCTTTTTGTTGTCCGCCAGCTCTCTGAGGTTTTTGTAAAGCTCTGCACATTCAACATGACTAATCACCATCTATACTTCTGACTACCTTTACAATTTATTCCATTTCTGCCAATAAGGAATCAAATACGTTTAGGTATATAAACTCATACATAATTCCTGCTTGTATTGTATAAAAATCTGCCTTACAAAGACAATTTTCCAGGAACGTATATCATTGAAAAGTAGGTGCTCACTGTAATTTTTAACACTAATATGGATTTAACAAATTATTCTTAGTCCTAAATGACTGGATTAAAAAATCTATAAATATCCTCTCTTAAAGAGAAGTTTTAAGATTATAGTTAAAAATAAAGAAACAGATGTACTGAAGAACTAAGGACCTAAAATAGCTAAACCTACACACTTTCTAAATAAAGAAATACCACATATGTAGTAAAAATCCTACTTGGGTTATCAGTTTATCAGAAAATAAATAAATAAACCTGTCAGGATTCCTGTCACTAGGAAGGCAAGTAGTATAGCCACAGAACTGATTTTCTATTATATGACTTCAGAAAAATTATGATGCTGATTTTAAAAACAACAAAAATGACAACAACAAAGGATGACAAAGATGGAAGCAGCTCACCTTTATTGAACCCTGACTATTGTCAGGGACTTTATATGCAGCAACTCACTGAGCCCCCAGCATTAACCTATAAATTAAAGTACTATTATTATTCTCATTTTATAGGTAAGGAAACTGAAAACCCATGGTAATAAAGTAACTTGCTCAAGGTCATACAGTAAGTGACAGAGCTGAGATTAGAACCTGGGTAGCCTGACTCCAAAGCCTCCATATTGAACTCAGCACTAACTATGTACCAACATATATGGGTAAGATGCTCATGTTCCTTCTAATTCAGATGCCACCTCTATAAACTAGGAATATTATATAACTCCACAGGCCTGTTGTAAAGATTACATGTAATATACCTCCATTATAGCTAACACTTAATGAAACTCACCCTGTGTCAGGTACTTTTCTAAGAGCTTTACATGTATTGCTTCAAGTAAGTCTCATAAGAATCCCATGAGGTAACTATTGCTATCACTGTTTATCAGAGAAGGAAACAGTGGTACAGAGATATTAAATAATTTGCCCAAGGTAATAAAATTGGTAAGTGTTGAAGGCAAGACTAGCGTCTACTCAGGCTTAATTAAGAGTCTTAAACTATCTGTCTTGTTGGTAATTAAACATAAATACACTCACAAATATATTGTCCATTGATTTCCAACAACATGTGGAGATAATTCAAGGTGGAAAACAGTCCTTTCATCAAATGGTGCTGAAAGAACTGGATATCCATATGAAAAAACAACAAAAGAACCTCAACCTTCCAGCATATACATGAATTAACTCTCAATGAATCACAGAACTAGATATAAGATAAAACTTCCTGAAGAAAATATGGAAGAAAATGTTTGTGATTTTGGATTATGCAATGACTTTTTGGAACACAAAAGGCAAAAATCATTAAAATATTTTGACAAACTGGACTTTATAAAAATCTAAAATTTCCACTCTCTTAAAGGACACTCTTAAGAAAAGGAAAAGACAAACTACAGGCTGAGAGAAAACATTTGCAAAACATATTCAATAAATATAGGTCAGCATATATACAGAACTATTCAACTCAAAAATTAGAAAATAATCCCCCCCCTCAAAAAAAAGGAACAAAAGATTTGAACAGACACATCAAAGATATACAGATGGCAAATAAGCACGTGACAAGATGCTCAATATCACTATCATCAGGGAAATGTAAATTAAAATCACAAAAAGGTATCACTGCATGTCTATTAGCATGTCTGAAAATTAAAAAAAAAAACAACACGGAGTGCTGATAAAGATGCCAAACAACCGCAACTCATATATGCTGGTGGGAAAGCAAATGTGACAGTCACTTTGGAAAACAGTTTGGGAATTTCTTATGAAGTTAAATATATATTTCCACATGACCCAACAATAGACTGAGTATTAACAAAAGACTCTTGGGTAAATACCCAAGAGAAACGAAGACCTATTTCCACATAAAAACCTGTTCTCTGATGGTTATAGCAGATTTAGTCATAATCACTAAAACCTGGAAATAACCCAAATGTTCTGCACCTGAACGGCTGAATGGATAAATAAATTGTGGTACACATTTATACAATGGACTACTATTCAGCAGTAAACAGGAGAAATGCATGCAACATTATGACTGAATCACAAAGATATTTTGCTAAGTCACAGAAGCCAGACACCAAAGGCTACATATTGTGTATTCCATTTATATGACATTCTGGAAAAGGCAGAACTGTAAGGACAGAAATCTGATTAGTGGTTGCCAATAATACATGGCTAAAGGTGGAGGTATAAGGGTACAGAGAACTTTTTAGGTGATGCAAATGTTTTATATCCTAATTTATATGACTATATATAGTTTTAGAAACTCATCGAACCGTATACTTTAAAAGGGTGAATTATACCCCCAATAAACCCAACTTTAAAATAAACTAAAACAAAAATATAAAGCATCTAATACATGCCTGCCATATTAGGAGTCCTCAATAAATTAGTTTCCTTATTCAACCCAATCCCAGGGAACAATATAATTAAAAAGAAGTCAGAGCATTCAAATCTTTCTCAGGGAATAGCCTGAAACTAAGGCTCTTTAGTTAGAAACCTTAAGACTATTTTAAGTCTGAAGAGTTTGGTTAAGAAGGCTTAAAAGCTGCTCGGCCAGGCATGGTGGCTCACACCTGTAATCCCAGCACTTTGGGAGGCCAAGGCGGGTGGATCACGAGGTCAGGAGATGGAGACCATCCTGGCTAACGTGGTGAAACCCCATCTCTACTAAAAATACAAAAACTTAGCTAGGCGTGGTGGTGAGCGCCTGTAGTCCCAGCTACTCGGGAGGCTGAGGCAGGAGAACGGCGTGAACCCAGTAGGCGGAGCTTGCAGTGAGCAGAGATCATGCCACTGCACTCCAGCCTGGGAGACAGAGCGAGACTCCGTCTCAAAAAAATTAAATTAAATTAAATTAAATTAAATTTTTTTTAAAAAGCTGCTCTAACATACATGGGTATATATACCCCCGGGCAGTGATGGACTCTACTGCTATCCTAAGACAAAAGAGAGTTCTGCTGCATCAAGATTGATGCACCAATGCTCATCACAGTATGATGCTTTCTTATATATATTACTATCTCCTGACATTTCCTTGGCTATGTGTTTTCACAGGGGCTAAACTCAACCCATCTGTTTGTTTACTGCTTAGTTCCTCATGTCTCCAATCAGTAATCTTGACACCTTCATATTCATTCATTCAGTAAATGTTTATGGGGTACAAAGATGAATAAAATGAACCACTTGCCTGGGCACAGCCCAGCACTTCAGAAGGCTAGGGCAGGAGGATCACTTGAGCCCAGGAGTTGAGACCAGCCTGGTCAACATAGTGAGACCCCTATCTCTAAAAAAAAAATTCTTTTAAGTAGCTGGTCTTGGTGGCACATGTCTGTAGTCCCAGTTACTCTGGAGGCTGAGGCAGAAGGAATTGCTTGAGCCTGGAGGTTGAGATTGCAGTGAGCAATGTTCATGCCACTGTACTCCAGGCTGGGTTGACAGAGTAAGACCCTGTCTCAAAAAAAAAAAAAAAAAAAAAAAAAATGAACACCTTAAAAGAACTCACAGACTCTAATATTTTAAAGAGACTCTACCAGCCAAGAAAATCACACACAACAATCACGGTTACATATTATCATGATTAATGTAACCAAGAGAATAAAAATGTTCTAAGGCATTTTAACAAGGAATAATTTTTAAGTAGTGTTCAAATAACCTTTTAAAAAATTAATCATATTAAAACATAAAGTATTAATGCACCAAGAATTTTCTAGGAACAAAAAGATAACACTGGTCAGGTGTGATGGCTCATGCCTGTAATCCAAGCACTTTGGGAGGCTAAGGTGGAGGACTTCTTGAGCCCAAGAGTTCAAGACCAGCTTGGACAAGATAGTGAGACCCCCATGTCTACAAAAAATCTAAAAATTAGCTGGGTGTGGTGGCTCACACCTGTGGTCCCAGCTACTCAGGAAGCAGAGGCAGGAGGATTGCTTGAATCTAGCAAGTCGAGGCTGCAGTGAGCTGTGTTCATACCACTACACTCCAACCTGGGCAACAGAGTGGAGACCCTGTCTCAAAAAACAAAACACTGCAATAAGAAAACTGGGCAATACGTGTAATTCAAAGCCAATTTTAAAATAGTTAATTCAGTCCTGGCTTTCTTATTTAAATATATCAACTAACAGAACCCTTTGAAAAGGCAAAAGTTTGTTACTTTGAACTTCAAGTAAAAATCTCCCAATCTTAGTCTATATTTATCTGTAAGCCTTATCGAAGAGGCAGAAAAATCTAAGTTTAGGGGTTGATGTCTAATATTTCCCTAAAAAGCTAACAAACTTTTACAATATGTAATAATCGTGTTAGAAATACATTAAAATTCTATCCGCTTCCCCTAACTCATCACTGATATTGAAAATATGGGATTTTCATAAACATTTCTGTTGCTTATTCTCATCTCACTTGCTGGCTCTTTCAAACAAGTTCTTATAGTCAGTGAAGAAAAAAATTTTCACATTTACAGAACATCTACTATAGGCTAGATCTCATTCAGTAAGTAGTCTCATCTCGGTTTTTACACACACACGTATATACATACACACACACACATACACACACACATACACATTCACACACAGGCATACTTACAGACAAGTCCCAATAGCAATGGGCATCAAAACAATTTAACAATCTATGTCAGGATTACTAGAGGAGCAAAGTTTTGTACTATACATGAATGCTGCTCTCAGTAACATCTTAAACCCTGAATTGAACTTAAATTAGATATGTCTAAGTTATCGTCAATCTTCTAAGTAGGAAGGTACCACAGTCTACATATGCAATTAATTCTTCAGAAGTTTAAAAAAAATTACTATCTGTATGCCTATATAGCACTTCTAAATGCATTTTCCAACATTTTAGATGATTATTCACATAATCATTCTTTTGTTATTGAATAGTCCATTTGTTCTCAATGTTATATTTTATATATAATGCAATGAACTGCAAAGTAGATATATAAATGTTTATGGAATGGAAGAAGCAGAATAAAGAAGGACCGGGACTGTACTGCTTTATGTTCATTTTGCTTATAAAACTGATTAACATGTTGGCTGAAGTTTACAATTCAACTGTTTAATGCAAATTCCTTTGTATGGGGCATAAAAATCCTCAAACTTGAGTAGAGCATGTTACTACTACAATCACTGCCCTAATTTTAAACTTACATGTATCACTCATTATGGAAAAATTATTTAATTATTAAAAATTGTCTGTGGCATCAATGTTTATAATCCCACACCATTTTCCCAATAGGAGCAATACTCACATTAATCCTTAAATAATAGGTTCTGAAAAGGTAAAACACGAAACAACAAAATCTTTACTTCAAGTCTATCCTTAAATGACACATGACCTCACCACACAGAATTTGATTTTACTTTTTATACAAATAATTCACTTCTCCAAGATTTTCCTAAATCCTGAGACATAAAACTTTAGATATACAACATGTATTTTCGTTATTAACAATGTAATGATTTGGTCCTATGTCTGAAAACAAGTTTAAAAAACAACTGATTAACACTAGACGGTAATATCAAAACAGAATTGCTTTGTGAAGATGGTAGAATGGTGATTCTTCCCTCCTTTTTTTAAATGCTCTTTAATATTACTGTTTTCAATTTAAATAATAAAGAATTATTGAGTTTATTCTCTATTTCCTGATATTTATCTACAATTAGCTAATACAATTTAACATAAAATTAAGAATTCAGAATCTAGATTTCTTTAGCGATTTAAAAATATAATGCATGTTTTTCAATTAATTATAAATGACAAACACAGTAACTTAATACCTACTAAGGGTAGTTAATTAGTATTTGGGAAAAGAATTAAAGCTACAATCAGAACAAAACTTTAAAAACTTTTCATTATTCAAATTACCTAAGCATTTTCTTTTTCTTTTTCTTTTTCTTTTTTTTTTAAATGGAGTCTCACTCTTTCCCAGGCTGGAGTGTAGTGGCCCTATCTCGGTACACTGCAACCACCACCTCCCGGGTAGTTCAAGTGATTCTCCTGCCTCAACCTCCCAAGCAGCTGGGATTACAGGTGCCCATGACCACACTCGGCTAGTTTTTGTATTTTTAGTAGAGATTGGGTTTCACCATGTTGACCAGGCTGGTCTCGAACTCCTGACCTCAAGTGATCTCCCTCCTCAGCCTCACAAAGTGCTGTAATTACAGGCATGAGCCACCACACCCGGCCAGCACTTTCTTTTAAAATGTTTGATATTAAACAATTATGTATGCAGGCATACATAATCTTATCTAAAGGGAAAACATAATCTTACATAAATATTACTAAATTAATCTTTATTGGCTTCATCGGTTTACAATCATGTTATGTTATCAAAATACCTTTAATAGTCACCTTATAGCACTCTGCTATTTGTCATCCAGTTTTATGCATCAAACACAATATACCTTTTGGTTATTCCTAACTGCTCAATGGCAAACACACGTTCCAGAATATAGTCATGGGATTTACAACATAATATTCTTACAGAAGACATATGCAGTGTTCCAAAATATTTTCCAAGAATACT